>NC_000007.14:152943228-153094743 GCF_000001405.40 Homo sapiens | reverse complement strand
ACACCAGTGTGCTCCACCTCACCAGTGGCTTAAAGATTTAGGTGTTCAGAAAAATACAAGGGGAAAAGCCATTTTTAGGATTCTTTTAAAGTTTTTTACATGTTTAGTCCTAAGGCATGTGTCATTTATGAAAAACTATAAGGAGATCTTTTAGGTTAGGAGGGAGATCTTTTAGGTACAATCAGTATCAAAAGAAGAGATTTGCTGCCGATTTTCATTATCTGGGATTTCTCTAGGACACCAGAGGGCTGGAGGCACCTGTGTCACTGCTCCCCATTCATGCTGAGGAAGATGTAACCCTACAAGGCAACCTTCAAGCATCAGAGCACAGTGAAGAACTGCTTATGTGCCTGACTCTGGACAGCACCCCAGGGACAGTGTGATGAAAATAAACAGCATCTGTGCTAGAGAGGTTTAGTATCCAGGAGAAGGATTCAGACACACAAACGAGAGCAGTTAACACATAGCCACGCTATGATGGATGCTTACGAAGGGACCACTGGGGACCAAGGAAGGTTCTGTAGTTTATCTGATGGGATCTGGAAGGGGCTGCATTGGAGAAAGTGGTGCTTGTGACATTTTAGGCAGAAGGATCATGCATATAGGTTAGGAGAACCATTAATAAAAGTCGGATGTAAGGGCGTTTGAGAGTGATGAGAGAGGTCTTCTATCTGCCATGCTGCATTAATTGGGTGACCACTGGCAGGTCTTTTAGCAGACTGTGTGTGTGTAGAGTGGGTTAGGGAATACTGTATCTCCTACTTCAAAAACTAGGTCTTGAGGAATTAACAGGAAGAAGACTGGAACTCCTTCATAAAATTTTATTTTCTTATTTTATTCATTTATGTATTTCTGAGATGGAGTCTTGCTCTGTCACCCAGGCTGGAGTGCAATGGTGCGATCTCAGCTCACTTCAGTCTCTGCCTCCTGGGTTCAAGTGATTCTCGTGCCTCAGCCTCCCAAGTAGCTGGGATGACAGGGGCGCACCACTACACGCAGCTAATTTTTGTATTTTTAGTAGAGTCGGGGTTTTACCATGTTGGCCAGGCTGGTCTCAAACTCCTGACCTCAGGTGATCTGCCAGCTTCAGCCTCCCAAAGTGCTGAGATTACAGAAGTGAGCCACCAGGCCCAGCCCTAAAATTTTTCCTCTAATGAAATCTATTTGGAAGTAGCATTCCAGACCAAAGGGTACCATGATGTATTTGGAATCTAGGACTCTGAGCAAAGTCTCATGAACAGCACAGGCATTGGCCAGACCAAAGAAGAATGACATTGGGTAGAGTATTGACTGGAGGCTGATAGGAAGTGGGTCTACTCTCCCACTGACCAGAAAAAAACAGCTGTGAGAATCCAAAAGCCCACTCTATATCCAGGTGCCTTGGCCCTGATGTAATGGAAGCAATGAGAAGCTCATTTCCTGGGTGTACTCCTCTGTATCCATCTCAAATTTCCCTCTGTCTCTAGGACCTGATTACCCTAAAAAAAAAAAAAAAAAAAAAAACCTTAACCCCAACTTTTTCCTCTTCTTCCTAAATGTCTTGTTTTTGTTTCATGTACTGTAAAGTCAAATAATGTGTATTTACTATTAAAAGCTAAATACAGGCTGGGTGCCGTGGCTCACACCTGTAATCCCAGCACTTTGGGAAGCTGAGGCATGTGGATCACCTGAGGTCAGGAGTTTGAGACCAGCCTGACCAACATGGCGAAACCCTGTCTCTACTAAAATTACAAAGATTAGCCGGGCATGGTAGGTGCCTGTAGTCCCAGCTACTCAGGAGGCTGAGGCGGGATAATTGCTTGAACCCGGGAGGCAGAGGTTGTAGTGAGCCGAGATCGCACCATTGCACCCCAGCCTGGGTGACAGACCAAGACGCCATCTCAGAAGAAAAAAAAAAAGCTAAACGCAGGTTTCCATCTTTCAGAGACATATATTGAGGGCAACAGAAGAATGACCTATTCTCGCCTGCACCTGAGATGTAATTGTCTTTGCCAAATTCCTGTGGCACCTCTGCTTTTATTTTGTTTTTTTGGTAGTCTTCAAAAATATTAAATATTTTTGTCCTTTGTAGAGCTTAATTATTTCTGAATATAGTAATGTTTACAATATTGGGGAATTAAGGGATTGATTAAATCTAATATATTGGTTAAACAAGGATGTAACTTTAATCACATCTTCCGACACATGTATTCTAACATTTTGTTCACTCTTCGCATCTTTGCTTCTAATGTAAAATCCTTTCTTGAATCGGAGAGATGAATGGCTTCAAGTGCACATCATCCCAGATCACCTGCTTCATTTCTAATCGATGCTGCATCTCTCCTTCACATTGCATTTCCCGAGTAATGTATACAGAAGAAAAGATTGGCAGAAAGGCCATATGTACAGGGAGCTTTCTTGCTTTGATTGAATTTTGGATTAAAGCCTTCTTCAGGGATTTATGATTAAGCAGTAATTCCAAATGTTAACGGTTTCTGCCATGGAACTGGAAATAAACACTAACAGAATTGAACACAGCCATTCTTTGTATTGTATACAATGAGAGATTAAAGGAAACCCAAACGTGAAGTTCCTTTCAAATATGCTTTTGACAAAAGTCAGCATCCATGGAAAAATTTCCATTTTAGACCCTGCTCTAAGTCTGGAGTAAGAGTTAGTGAGGGGAGAGAAGCTCTTGGGGCACAGGTAACGGACCATGGGGGCTGTAGCATTCGCGTGTGGTTTTACTTGCCCTCGTAGCCCAAAGGCCAAGGGGGGTCTGCATCTTTCGGCATGCAGGACCTGGTGGGGGTTGGTCTGTCCTGAGAGTGGAGAGATTTCCCCAGTCCCACAGGCTGTGCAAGCCTCAGGACGCTGTCTTTCCCGAGTCAAACAGGCTCTTGCTGGTTCTCCTTTCTGTATTCGCAGTGGGCCTGTCCACCTGCACAATTCTGTCACTTGCGCACCCAGCTCTGTGGCTGAAATTACCACTGAGATCGATTCATCGCATGCTTCTGCCCAGGGTAGCAGAGAGTCAGAGCCTGCAACGGCAGCAAATTGCAGAAAGAACCACGCGGCAGTCTTGAGTCATCTCCTGCCTTGCTCAGCGCCTGCTCGCTCACATCTGCACCTGCGTTTCAGGAATATCTAAAATGTTAAAAATGCTGCTTGCGTTTTTCAGGATTGCAGCTATCTACTCTTGGACTCTGTGACGAAGAAAATGAAACAATATGATCTGCCATTTTTAGGAGCGGTCACAGGAAAATCTAATTTTATCTTCACAAAGACTTGTGCCTACCACCACGTTGACTCAGATTATCCACTGGAGGAAGAGTCTTTGCACTAGAAAGAATGACCGTGTGCAGCTTTGAGAGCTTCCAAATCTGCTTTTTATTCTATAAATTAATATATTCAGTTGGGAAGGCTATAGGAAGGCAAAGGACTTTATGAAATCAACCAGGCCACTATCTAATTTTCAAATCATTGTTAGACATTCCCAACATTTTAGGGTTTGCAAACGCCCTAATTTCAGTTGCACGGATTATTAAATCTATCTCTGTCTCTATCTCTTCATCACTCCTAGTTTTAATTTAGAGGTTTTAATATTGCTTCAGAAACTACTGGTGGAAATGTAAAAGTCAGGTTGTTAATAGTTTCATCTAGTATTTTGGAAGACCTTCAATGACACCATTAAAAATATAATGATTCCTCCTTTTTTCCCCAAGCCAGAGGGATTTTAATTTTCTTTTCCTGTTGTTCCTAGAAAGGACATGTTGTAACAGAGAGCTCTTGTGCCTCCCTGTGGCTGGTCATTTACATTATGTCTAATTCTGTGCCATGTTTCGGGAAGTGAATGAAAATATACAAACTATCATTTATTCTTCTGTACCTTTCATATGACAAGGAAAAAAAGTGTTTTGGAGTATTTTAGGTATGGAGCACAAGAAACTACTGATTTCTTGAAAAGGCGTGATGGACATTAGTATACTTTTGACTGTAAATAGAATGAGTGAACTCAAACTGAATTAAAATGAAAGGAACAATAAGAAAATTATTTGGCCCTGTAATTGGATGTCTACAGGTAGGGCAGATGTCCAAACTGGTTAATTCAGCAGCTCAATGATGGTATCAAAAATACTGGTTCTCTGTTTCTCCCCTGTTTATAAAGGGGAGGCTGGTTCCCCCACAGACACATGTGTGCTCAGCGCTTCTTCAGAATAGCTATAAAGAGAGACTTCGGTGGCTTCCAGCAGCTTTTCCAAGACAAGTGAGGGACTTCCTTTTCCAGAAGGCTCTAGAAACCCTTCCTCATGCCCCATTGGCCAGAATTAGATCACATGTCCTTTCCTCAACCAATCATGGGCAAAGAGGAGAAGCACAATCAGGCATAGATTAAAAAGGGCCCATATCTAGCGTGGGGACCATGGTTCCCTGCTGCACATGGACTGTGAGAGGAAGAGGTGAAAACACCTGAACAAAACCTGAGTTTCTTTTAGGAATGGAAAAGGGAAAGTTACTGCTGGGGACCAGCCAACAATGTCCACTATGGGTGCTGAGGCAGAGATCAAATGATTACAGAGGGGAATCTTCCACAGCTGTACGAATACATTATTAGACCAGGATTTGGAGCCAAATGCCCTTGACAGGTAACGAATGAACAGGCTGGTGTCCTTTCATAAGAATGGCAGGATTTTGGCCAACTGTGTGTGCATGCCTTCCTAAATAAAGCATTCCTATATTACTCAGTTAAACAAAACCCTATTCCAATCCAATCAAAATAGTTCTGTTGGTGAAATCTCCTCAGAGGGTGGCAGTTTCCTGACCTCTCCAGGAAAACTAACAGATTTTGCAGAATTGTCATTTGAAATTAGAAGGAGGAAACAGTGACAATCCAAGTTATCTAATTTTGTGAACATGAATAGCAAGTCAAGATAAGCCGTTAATAATATCAATCAAGTAATCACAAACTGTGAATGTTGTCAGAATCAAAATGAAGTCACTAATGTTAGGAAAAACCTGGCAAATAGAGCCGGGGAAGACCATGAAGAGAGGGTTCTCATGCATATATGTCTGATAACGAAAACTATCACAAAAGACTGCAAAAACCATAACCTCGCACATCAAAACCTTACACAAAAAAAACACTTCTCCAGGACCATCTGCCCTGCAACTGCCTGTCCAGCCTCAGACCAATGTTGTCCTTGTTACTGATCTTTGCAGCCAAGGATAATTATTTCAAAACAATTATGGAATCTCATTTTCTCCTTTAAAAACCATTGTCTTCTTTTACCTCCCTGAATACACACGCCCTTTACTGTCGCATGTGGATTCCCATAGCAAATGCTCTATTTCCAAACAAATTTCTTTTAGAGAGCCTCTGTTTGTTGTTTAGGTTGATAAAACACTGCAATGTTATTTATTTTTTAATCCTTATTTTATCATTTTAAGATCCAGACTTTTTTACTTTTTTTTTTTTGAGACGGAATCTCGCTCTGTTGCCCAGGCTGGAGTGCAGTGGCACAATCTCGGCTCACTGCAGCCTCCACTTCCTGGGTTCAAGGGATTCTCATGCCTCAGCCTCCCAAGTAGCTGGGACTACAGACGTGTGCCAATACGCCCAGCTAATTTTTGTATTTTTAGTAGAAATGGGGTTTGGCCATATTGGCCAGGCTGATTTTGAACTCATGGCCTCAAGTGATCCACCCACCTAGGCCTCCCAAAGTGCTAGGATTACAGGTGTGAGCCACCGTGCCTGGCCAAGATCCAGACTTTTTAAAGATCCCATTTCATTTAATGGACAGCCTTTCTCCTAGCCTTGAAACCCCAGAGGGCTCTCTGCTCCACCTCCTTTACTCTCAGGATTGGACAAAGGGCCACCAAGTCCTTCAGAGGCACCTGTGCACCATCACTCAGCACTTCCCCTTCCTGGCTTGACTTACGTCACTCGGGGCTGCTGCATGGCCTCCTATCTGGTTCCCCTTATCTTCTCTTTTCTTTGAAATACCCTTCAATCTGCTCTCAGGGGGATTTTCCTGGAATCACTTACCTGCGCCATGTAAAGGCTCAATATCTCACGTGGTTCCCCTTTGTCTGCAGATCAGAAACCAAAGCCGGGGCTCTGTATGACCATGTCTTATAGAATCTGGCTGCAGTCCTGCCTGCCACCTGTTCCCTCTGGACGGTGGGCCTCCTCACCTGTCCTCATCCAGGAGGCTCTAAGTCACCCCTTCCTTTTGTCTGTGTATGTCCCACCCCCTCCCTGCTCAGCCTAAGCCCCCTACCCACCCTCGTGACTTTTTCCCACATAGGCTTCCTTCCAACAACACCCATCAATTCAGAGCCACACAGCTCCCGGGGCAGTACTGGGCAACACCTGCATGATCTTAGTGGATCGCTCTCTCGCAGGCCTGGTGTCTCCTCCCGGATGAGTTCTCTGCGTCTATACTGGCAGCACGTGGCAGAGCACTTAGCAAAGCTTAGCAAACTGGCTGCTGCAGATGCACTTGATGACCTCGGGCAGCCCTGCCACTCAGGACGGTCCTGCCCTTCTCCCGCCTCCACTTCCCCACCTGCTCTCCCTCAGCGTGACACAGTGGCTTTGAGGACCACGAGGGGCCTTATATGAGTTTTGAAAGCAGCTAGTGCTGTTGTGCCCACCTCTCCCTCCCCTCCACCCCACCCCATTTCCTCAACTGCCCTGCCTCTTGGTGATGGCTGAAGGTGGCTGGGTCTGGACCAATGATTGATTCTTTATCAAACTGGAGAAGTCATGTTCTGAACTGCATGTTCAGGGAGCACAGCGTCCACAGTGCCGAGCCTGGAGGGCTAGGGGGACAGAACAGCGTGCAGCCTGTGCACCTGACTCATTGGCCTTCCTACCACTCACCCCAAGACCCTCACCCCCCCTTCTCCTCCAAACCTGCACTGACCCTCTAAGCGCAGACCCCCAAAATCTCCCCCATGGCTGGTCCTTTTCCTCCCTTCTCCTCTAGGTCCTCTGCAGCCCCCAGTGCAGAGTGTAAATCCCATCCACCGGCCAGTGTGAATCACCCAATTGGCAGACTGCCAAAATTCAGGAACCTAAGATTGAACGTTAATAAGCTGGTCCTAAAAATTATGAAATCATGAATAAGAATCTTGTTTTTTATGTTATTATCAGTGGGCTCCATATTCACAGATTCAACCAACCAAGGATTAAAAATACCGGGGGAAAAATGGATGGTTGCATCTGTGCTAACACATACAGACATTTTTTCTAGTCATTATTACCTAAACAATACAGCATAACAATTCTGTCCATAGCATTTACATTGTATTGGGTGTTATATGTAATCTAGAGATGATTTAAAGGACATGGAAGAATGTGCATAGTTACACACAAATACTACACCCATTTTCTAGAAAGGACTTGAGCATCTGTGGATTCTGGGGTCCATGGGGGTCCTGGAACCCATCCCCCATGAACACTGAGGGATAACAGTACTTTACATTGCCTAGTGTTCTGCCCCCAGCTTATATTCATTTCCTGAATTCAAGCTTTCGAATATAGTTGAAAGAGCTGGACAGGCCTTATCTATATTTGAATTCATATCCATACAGACTCAAAGATTAATATCCGCCCCAAAAGTATTTGGGTGATCACACGTGGACTTATGTAAGTCATCAAGCTCTAGCCTTGTGTGCTCGGGAATTATCCCCCAAGCCCCAATCTTAGAGTTCAGACAGAAGTCTTGAATTATTCTGTTTTTCTCTAAAGCTATTGAGTCACATTTATCTCCTAAGATTCTAGACTCTTACCTGATCTTGCTTTGTTTGAATCTTCCACAGCACAGAGCTGGATGAGCTCTCAGTAACGCTTGCTGTGTTGACATCTTTAACCTTTCTTACGGAATCCCATCTCTAAGGCTAACACTGCCTCCGGGCCTAACCTGCCTAGGCCCCCTTCAAGCGGACAGTTTAATTTGGAATTATGTATTAGTTGCTGACTTTTGCCTTATCTGATTGCTGGTGTGAACTTTCCGCGGGGCTCTGTTATTTTACTTCTACTCAAATATTCAGAAAAGCCTCCAGTATCTGTCACAGCCTTTCAACATTTTCATTTATTCCCATCAAATGTCAAAGTCGTGCTCTGGTGATAACTGGCATTCCAATAGCGCATGCTCATCCTCCAGGCCTCTGGTTGTCTCACGCCCTTGGGGCTGGCGAAGGAGGTAAGGCCACCACTGCAGGTGTGGAGGAAAGGAGGCTGCACAAGGTCAGAGGAGCAGGCCGAGGTCACAGCCCCGGCGTCCTCAGCTCCTCCCTGCCCAGTGACAGGTCAGGTGCCCCTGGCCACCCTTTCCTTCTCCCCTAACCACCCTATTTAAAATGCCACCCTCCCATCTCTGCCATACTCCCTCTCTCCTTTCCCGCGTAGTTATTCTCCATGACACAACTAAGCAAAATCCATCTCATTTACTGTTTTATTTTTTATCATCGACACCATAAAGGCACTTTTTTTTTTTTGTCTGTTTTGCCCACTGCTGTGTTTCCAATGCCCAAAATGGTACCTGCACATCCTGGTAAGTGCATAGATATTTGAATGAATGAATAAACAAATGACTAAGCAAATAGCATCTCCTGCCCGGGATCATCCCACCATGCTTTTTCACGTCCCACGTTCGTCATCGCTGTCACAGAGCTTGCAATCTGTCTGTCTCCGCTATTATACATCACTGTGTACCAATCTGTGAACACAGCAATGACTATTTGTGGACCAAATGAAGCCAAACCTTCTATTTCTGAATCCCATATTCAACCCACTGCACCGCAGTGATCATTTAATAAAATTAAGACCTCGGGTTAACTTAACTCCACTACCTTATCCTTGAAGCTAGGAGAGACGGAAAACCCAATATCCCAGCACAGGAGTTATTATTCCTGACCCCAAGTGTTCGTAGCTCAGGTTTCGGCAAGTCAGCAGACTCATTCAGAAACTCCTTCCCTTTTCTCATTTTCTTAGCACTGTGTGATCCCTTGGAAGATAAAGCCTTGCCGGCCTCGGACAACCTGACATTATGACTCGTTTCTCTGCCTTTCTGCTCCCCAGAACACTTTCACACTGAAGTCAATTGTGCGCCTTCTCTCCCCTCTCAATGCCATTAGTTTTTAGAAATCTAGGTGTGTAACTGAGGGGTTCACACCACCCAGAAGGTCCTATTAAAAAGCTACATAACACCTTCCTTTGCCTGAAGATAATTTTTTATTTCCTTTTTGATTTCTTGTTTGACCCATCGGTTGTGGTTTGAACCATTGGTTGTGAAGAAGTGTTTCGTTTCATTTCATATGTTGGTGACTTTTCCAAAATTGCTCCTGGTATTGATTTCTAGTTTCATACCATTGTGGTCAAAAAAGATACTTGATATGATTTTAATCTTAAACTTACTAAGACTGGTTTTGTGGCCTAACATTTGATCTGCCCTGGAGACTGTTCCATGTGCACTTGTGAAGAATGTGTCTCCTGCTGCTGTTGGATGGAGTGTTCTGCAAATATGTTAGATCCATGAGGTCTACCACAATGTTGTTCAAGGCTGCTGTTACCACAAAAAGTAATAATAACATTGGTGATAATAATAATAAAGGGACCAGGAGGAAACTCTGGGAGGTGATGGATATGTTTATGGCCTTGATGGTGGTGAGGGTTTCATGGTTGTGCACATATCCCCAGATGCATCAAGTTGTATGTATTAAAGATGCACGGCTTTTCACACATCAGTCACTCAGTAAGAAGGTACAGAACAGGCCGGGTGCGGTGGCTCACACCTGTAATCCCAACAATTTGGGGGGCCAAGGTGGGCAGATCATGAGGTCAGGAGTTCAAGACCAGCCTGGCCAACATAGTGAAACCCTGTCTCTGCTAAAAATACAAAAAATTAGCTGGGTGTGGTGGTGGGGGACTGTGATCCCAGCTACTCCGGAGGCTGAGGCAGGAGAATCGCTTGAACCCAGGAGGCAGAGGTTGCAGTGAGCTGAGATCATACCATTGCACTCCAGCCCGGTCAACAGTGCAAGACTCCGCCTCAAAAAAAAAAAAAAAGAGGATGGTACAGAACAAATAAGAGTGTCAGGCCCATGGTGTGTGGGTTATTTTGCAAAACCTAACAACTGTGTTGACTGCATGTGCTTTAAGTTTAAGCTGGAGATCAAGTGTGGGGTGGCTCTGGGCTGTGCAAGTGAGTGCCCCTGCCCTGGGAGGAGAGCCCTCCCTAGGCCCGCACAGGCGATCGCCCCATCAAAGTCTCTTAGGCAGCTCCGCTTCACTGCACCCGCTGCTGCTGACATGCCCGATGTTTCAGAAAGGAAAACACAGACACAAATCCTTCTTGCTCTGCTTGGCCTCTGAAAAAGCAGCTCTCCAGGGAGGCCCTACATCCAACAGAGGTACACCAGGGGCTGTGGAAGGGGCAGAGGCACCTTCCTGTTCTCACCTGGCTGTGGAGTGGTGGGGGGGGGATCCCGGCACCTGGGGATTCTCTTTCTCAACATGAGGCCATTCTTGAGCTTACCTTTGAGCCCACAGCCCTGCTCACAGCTCCGTGAACTGGGGGCATGATATAATTTGGATATTTGTCCCTCTAAATCTCATGTTGAACTGTAACCCCCCATGCTGGAGATGGGGCTGGTGGGAGGTGACTGGATCCTGGGGGTGTATTTCTTATGGATGGTTTAGTACCATCCCCTTGGGGCTGCCCTCTCCATAGTGGGTTCTCACAGGATCTGGCTGTTTAAAAAGCGTGTGGCCTCTTTCCCCTCCTTGCTTGCTCCTGCTTTTGCCATGTGATCCGCCAGCTTCCCCTTTGTCTCCCCCAACGACTGTAAGCTTCCTGACTCACCCCGGGAAGCAGAGCAGATGCTGGCGCCACACTCCCTGCACAGCCTGCAGAACTGGGAGCCGATTAAACCTCCTTTCTTCATAAATTGCCCAGCCTCAGGTATTGCTTAGTAGCAAGGCAAGAACAGCCTCCTATAGGGTAGTAATAGATGTTTTCCAGGTGAGTCTCCATTGCGGCTGCTGCACATCCCGTGCCAGTGCGCTTTGGAGAAAGGGCTGACCCGAGTGCCCAGAGACGGCTCCAGCAGCAGCTTCACCTGCTCCCCGTGAGCAACGCCAGCTCCCAGCACACCCATGAGCACTTGGCAGTGGCACACGGTGCTACTGGAGGTCGGCCCGGGGAGCTGATTCACAGCTGCCTTGACAAGGCAGGGCCACCTCAGGGGACTGAGCTGGGGACCTCGTTCCTAGCAGCATGGACTGCACCTCAGCTTCCTGAGAGACCCATAGCTCCCCGCCCGGCACGAAGGGCTTTGGACAGCTGTTTCTTTCAGATTTCTCCTGTAAACATCTGTCATTTAATCCAGCTGCTGAATGGCCACCTGGTCATTCTTTCCTCCTACTTATAAGGTTGCTCTGGGCTGCCCTATAAGAAGGGAGAGCAGAGGCAGCTCCTCTCTGGAAAGTTGCTCACGGCATGTTCAGGTTGGGGTTGGGGTTGGGGTTAGGGTTTTTTTTGTTTGCAATTTTTTCCCTTTTCAAGCAGAAAACAGGTAAGCTGCCTCACATCTCTTACCCCTGGACAGAGGCATTCCCCTGGCCTGGGGATTCCCCTGACCTCTGCACAGGGGTAAGAGATGAGAGGCAGCTAAACCTTCTCCCTGGCTAACCCTTGTTTAGCAACTCCCCAAGACGCCCAGCTCCTTAATCTATAATGCACGCTGTAGGAATCACCTCCGCCCTGCTGCGCGGCAGTGTGGCTGAGTGGTCTCCAGCTGCCTCCTCCTCCATGGCGACTTCAAGTTTCTTTAGGAAAATAATTCAGTTTGGCGATGTGTCAATGTTGGATACTCTTTAGGCTGAGAAGAAGTCTAAAACATATACCTCACATCCCTCCCCAGATTCTCATATGAACGGAACTCCCATCTCCCAAACTACCACAGCTACCACTGAGGATAACAGAACAAAAAGAGATAATGCATGTACAGTTCTTAAAACAATATTTTTTTCTGGCCGGGTGCGGTGGCTCACGCCTGTAATCCCAGCACTTTGGGAGGCCGAGGTGGGCAGGTCACAAGGTCAGGAGATGGAGACCATCCTGGCTAACACGGTGAAACCCCATCTCTATTAAAAATAAAAAAAAATTAGCTGGGCATGGTGGCAGGCGCCTGTAGTCCCAGCTACTCGGAAGGCTAAGGCAGAAGAATGGTGTGAACCCGGGAGGTGGAGCTTGCAGTGAGCCGAGATTGTGCCACTGCACTCCAGCCTGGGTAACAGAGTGAGACTCCATCTCAAAAAAAAAAAAAAAAAAAAAAGCCACAATATTTTTTCTTATCTTGTATCATTTGACCCTCCCAATCCAGTGAGAGTAATAGGGATTCCCTATTAATATCAAATAAAAATGTACCCATTTTATAAGTAAAGGAACTGGGGGCTGGACCCATAGCAGCGGCTCATGCCCATAATCCCAGCACTTTGGGCGGCCGAAGCGAGCCGATCACTTGAGGTCAAGAGTTCAAGTTTGAAACCATCCTGGCCAACACGGTGAAACCCCATCTCTACTAAAAACACAAAATTAATGGGCCTGGTGGTATGCACCCATAATCCCAGCTACTCGGGAGGCTGAGGGAAGAGAATCACTTGAACCCGAGAGGCAGAGATTGCAGTGAGCCAAGGTTGTGCCACTGCACTCCAGCCTAGGTGACAAGAACGAAACTCCATCTCAAAAGAAAGAAACTGGGGCCCAAGGAGGATAAATGACCAGCTTAAATTTGCAGAGTTAGTAATTGATAAAGTCAGGACTCAAATCTAGGCCTTGTGACTATGGGCTAAACTTTTTTTCCATTTTGTATTCTGCTCCATGCCCTCATCTACGAATCCATAAAGCATTACTTCATGGCTTCTTTCTTTAATCTCCCCTTATAAATCAAGAGTAAAGATTCCACCCGAAGCTCTGAATTGCTTCTATTTCAGCCCGAGTAAAATGCTTCACCAGCGCTTACATTTCACATTCCCCATGCTCCACTACCTGGGTAGATTCCTCCCATTACGCCCAGCAAGTCGACCATGTAATTGATCGTGGCTATTACTCTCTGGAGGGTTATGAGTGCCATCGGATCTGGGGAGTAGACTCACACTCTAGTTTTCATTTAAAATGTTTAAATAAGGAAAAGGGTTGTGACAGTTGAACATAAAAATGATTTTTTAATTAAAAGGTGATACTGTATTTGGCCCCTATTTTTTACATCTGGTACTAACGTGACTTTCCCCCCAGTTCTTTGGGAATATTTGGGGGGAGGGATTTTTTGTTGTTGTTGTTTATTTAGGGATTTTTTTTTCTTTTAAAGAAAAAAAGAGAACAACCTAAGTAAGAAATTCTCTTTCATGCTGTCAGGGGCTCAGCCTGGTGCAGCTTGGCAGGTAGGCAGCAGGACACAGCTGAATTACAGATGAGCAATGACCCTGAAGGTTTCTGCTTCACCCACACTCACAGTGGCAGACTTAAAACATTCATGTATAGCTGTAAAGCAACATCAAAATTTCAGATTTGAGGTATGGAAAGAAAGTAAGTTATCCCTGAAAGCTTCCAGCTCTCCTCCTTACAACATTCTCTGCTCATGAAGTGCTTTCTGATTTTACATTGTGATCCCATCTCTGTCATTATCACAACCTTCTGAGGAGGGGATGGCAGTAACTTAAGGTCTGAAATGAAGATTCAAGATTAGGTGCTGACGGGTCATCTGGTGAAACTGGGAGGCCCCAAATGGCCTAGCTCCAAGTTCCCCACGCACTCGACTCCTACAGCTAAGATCCCGGAGCCAAACAACCCTCCCTGTCACAAGGGCCTGGCACAGGCCCTGCCTATCCAGGAGTGGCAGGTGTCAGTTCCCTGCCAGCCTGTGCAATTATTCAGACAAGCCAGCCTCAGCCTCCTGCAGGAGCCAGGCACACCTCACCCTCTTGTTACCACAAAGCCTGCCTCCTACATCCCCTGCTTGTTCATCCTGTTCCCAAGCACAATCACTGTGTGGCCCTCATGGCATGTGGCACTGCCTTCCCCTGGGCTGTGAGTCTATGTGATTGATAATGTGCTGTCAATCTCATCTGTCCAGTGTTGGGTGCTGTGTGTTTCACCATCCCCATAACCCTAGGGGAAGAATCCCTGCCTCAGCACAGTGTGAAGAGGAGGTGATTTTAAAAATGGATATATTAGCCTTGTTTCAAAAATGTTGAGAAATATTTGCCCAAGACATATGATTATTAAATAATGGGGCATCTTAGATCTTCAGACTTGAATCCCAAAACTCTTTCCTGCTGCACTCTGCTATGTCTTAGTTGAGATCCCCCAGAAGTAGACCCTGAGCTGGGGACTTTGGCACACATGATTTATTAGGGAAGTGCCTGCAGGACAGACCACTAAGGGGGTGGAACAAGGAGGGAGAGGAATGGGAACCAGGCAGGCCATGGAGGAAATTTCCAGGGAAAGTCACAGCCTCCGTCTGAGGCCACAGGGAGCCCTGATATATAAATGCATTTCAGATTTTTTCCCATCTTGAACTTAATTAAACTAAAAAGCTCTCCACCACCAAATAAATAATCAACAGAGTGGACAGCAAACCTGAAAAATGGGAGAAAATATTTGCAAACTATGCATCAAATAGAGGATTAATATCCAGAATTTACAAGGAACTCAAACAACTAAACTAAAAAATAACAATAATCATCTCATTAAAAAGTGGGCAAAGAATATGAATAGGCATTTTTCTAGATAAGACATACAGATAGCCAACAGACATATGAAAAAAATGGTCAACATCATTAATCATCAGAGAAACACAAGTTAAAACCACACCAGTTAGAATGGCTTTTAATAAAAAGACCAAACATAACAGATATAGGTGAGGATGTAGAAAAAAAGGGAACTCTTCTACACTGTTGGTGAGAATGAAAATAAGTACAACCTTTATGGAAAGTGGTATGGAGATTTCCCAAAGAACTAAAAATAGAACTGCCACGCAATCCAGCACTTCTACTACTGGGTATCTGCCCAAAGGAAAAGAAATCAGTATGTAAAAAAGCTACCTACATCCATACGTTTGTTGTAGCACTATTCACAATAGCAAAGATATTGTGAATATCTTTATGAATATCAACCTACATGCCCATGATCAGAAAACAGGGTAAAGAAAATGTGGCATATATAGAAAATGGAATACTATTGATCCATAAAAAGAATAAAATTATGTATTTTCCAACAACATGTATTAAACTGAAGTCCATTACCTTAAATGAAACAAATCAGACACAGACAAATACTACATGTTATCACTTATAAGTGGGAGCTAAATAATGTGCACACGTGGACATAGAGTGTGGAATAATAGACACTGGAGACTCAAAAGTAGGGGTGGTGAGGGTGGATGATGAGAGATTACTTAATGGGGGTACAATGTTCTGGTGGATGATGGATACCCTAAAAGCCCTGAAATCTGTGCATGTCACAAAATGATACTTGTACCTCATAAATTCATATAAATAAATAAAAAATAGTGAAACCCATCTCTACTAAAAATACAAAAAATAGCTGGACATGGTAGCATGTGCCTGTAATCCCAGCTACTCAGGAGGCTGAGGCAGGAAAATCGCTTGAACCAGGGAGTCGGAGGTTGCAGTGAGCCAAGATGGCACCACTGTACTCCAGCCTGGTGACAGAGCGAGACTCCGTCTCAAATACATACATACATACATACATACATACATACATACATACATACATACATACATAAAATGTTTTAAAGTTAGTTAACTATCTTAACATGGAAAAAAAAGATTTCGTCCCTTTCTGAAGCCATGCTAAGCTTTCGTACTTGCCTTACCAATGAGTCACTGGCTCTGGCTGACCCCAAGGGGATGTAAACCCTCAGACACCTCTGGTCTCTACAAGGCCAGGCAGCAGGCAGCCCCTAGTCAAAGAACCATCCTCATAAGGATGTCACAGCTGTGGGCTGCTTGCAGTGAGAATGCCAGATAAAATGCAGAATGCCTAGTTAAATTTAAATTTCAGATAAACAATGAATAATGTTTTCATATATACATATATATATACACATATATATATATATTCCAAATATTGGATGGAAAACACGTATACTAAAATGTCTTTATTATATCTCTGCAATTTAAATTTAAATGGGCCTCCTATATTTTTATTTGCTAACCCTGGCAGCCTTATTTGCTATAAACCAAACACATACAGGGGATGCGTACACAGCCCTGGCGAAGAGAATGGGGTCAGAAGGGCGTCTAGATGGAGCACCAAGAGTGCCCACCATTGTGCTGCACTTCAGGACTCCACACTGCCTTGCAATGTCAAATTATTTCCTCTCTCAATGCTCTCCAGCCTCTATAAACTCTCCAGACTGATCAGGATGGCCTGAATGTCAAAAACTAGAGCATGCTCTATTTTTGCTTCTTCCCAGGGACAAAACTTCCTAACACTCAATTCCTTTTCTCCCACGTGGCCATCTTCCCCTTTCTTTCAGCAGAACTCACTCAGAACCCATGTTTTCCACACAGCTCCTCCCGTCCTCTTCAGCTGACAAGGATGTCTACCCACTGAAGCACCCATTCAACTTCTTATCCAACAACCATTTAGTGACCGCCTACTAGACACAGGGGTGACCCTGGAGAGAAGAAGTCCATGTGGCCGGGCACGGTGGCTCATGCCTGTAATCCCAGCACTTTGGGAGGCCAAGGCGGGCAGATCACCTAAGGTCAGAAGTTTGAGACCAGCCTGGCCAACATGGTGAAACCCCATCTCCACTAAAAACACAAAAATTAGCTGGGTGTGGTGATGCGCACCTGTAGTCCCAGCTACTAGAGAAGCTGAGGCAGGAAAATCGCTTGAACCTGGGAGGTGGAGGTTGCAGTGAGCCAAGATCACGTCACTGCCCTCTAGCCTGGGTGACAGAGCCAGACTCCATCTCCAAAAAAAAGAAAAAGAGGAAGAAGAAGTAGTCCACGTGGTGCAGCCCAGTCCTCTAGAAAGGTTTTGCAAGATGCGATGGGAATGTAGATGAGAGATGTCTACATTAGAGCAGGGCGTCAGTTCACTCTGCAGAGGATTTGACTCACCCTTGAGTTGAGGTTTGAAGGAAGAAAGGAAGTTGGACACAAAAGGAAGCAGGAGGAGATCATTGGGGTAGGAGTGTGAAAATAAACTAATGAAGAAATTAAGGAGCAGCAGGATAGAGTCTACATATCATGGTCCTGGGAATGGCTCTGCCTTAAGCGCTTTTAGGTGGCAGACTCAGCAGGGTGGACTTTTTTGGGTTTGAGACACAGAAGGGCAGTAAATAAAAAGGACTCACCTACAACAGTGGTTCTCACACTTGTCTGAGCACTAAAATCCCCCAAGAATACTTTAAAAAGCACACATTTCTGGGATCTTGTGGTCAGCCAGGTTCAGGACTGCTGACATAAGACAACAGCCATATTTTTTTGCACATTGGTAGAGGAGGAAGAGTGTGGGGGAAATGACTGTCTCAGACGTGAGCGATTCTGTAAGCACCAATCAGCTCTGAGTGTCTCGGGGAGGCCCCTCACCCTTTGGGACACCCCTCCACTGCCCCCAACCCCACCCCTTAATCTCACAGGGCCTGGGTCTGCTCTTTCCCCTCCAGCCATGCAAGGCGCTGCTCACATATGCTACGTCAAGTGATATGCTCCCAGAAAGCTGTATACCAGTTGAATAAACTTTTAAATTTAGGTTAGCTGTTCTTAAGAAACAAAAATAAACTGAATTCTGTGAAAAATACTTCTACCGAGACCAGAATCTTCACTTCATTTTCTTTACATATATAATGAAGACATACAATGATTCTTCTATTTACCAAACAGTTCAATTCTGAAAAACTCTGTTGTTCTGAAGGTAAAATGATTGTCCCAAGTGACCAAGCCATAAAAGTCTATGTGAGAATGCAAGGATCTAGAACTAGAAATACCGTTTGACCCAGCCATCCCGTTACTGGGTATATGCCCAAAGGATTATAAATCATGCTGCTATAAAGACACATGCACACATATGCTTATTGCGGCACTATTCACAATAGCAAGACTTGGAACCAACCCAAATGCCTATCAATGATAGAGTGGATTAAGAAAATGTGGCACATATACACCATGGAATACTATGCAGCCATAAAAAAGGATGAGTTCATGTCCTTTGTAGGGACATGGATGAAGCTGGAAACCATCATTCTCAGCAAACTATCGCAAGGACAAAAAAACAAACACTGAATGTTGTCACTCATAGGTGAGAACTGAAAAATGAGAACACTTGGACACAGGAAGGGGAACATCACACACCAGGGCATGGGGGGAGGGGGAAGGGATAGCATTAGGAGACATACCTAATGTAAATGACAAGTTAATGGGTGCAGCACACCAACATGGCACATGTATACATATGTAACAAACCTGCACATTGTGCACATGTACCCTAGAACTTAAAGTATAAAAAAAAAAAGTCTATGTGAGGATGAGCTGCTGAGTAGTCAGGCCTCGGTCTGGTTTTGGTTTTCAATTCTCCATTAAGTTTTCACTTTGTTTAGGAGGCAGATGTAGTACCATCGTGCATCCTTTCAGTCTGACTTGACCCAACATGGTTCTTGGTCCCAGCTGCCCCCTCTCCTGGCTTCCCCTGCCAGCCTAGGCTTCATCAAAACAGGCACTAGACTTTGATCAAAAGGAAGAATATTACACTTGATAACATGTCATTTAATTCTAATTAAATGCCAATCATAAGCTCAGATGCCTTCTTATAAATGTAGTTTACTAATTTTTGACGTGACTACAGAATTCACTCTTTTCAGTTGAAATTGTATCAAAGCTATTAAACCTTCAAAAACTTTAAATCTTCTAGGTTTCCATTTAATATAGTATAACAATGTTTTCTGCCACCCTTTCTGTCCTAAAACCCATATAATCCAAGGAGAATATACATGAGAAATGCAAAGTCCATCCTTGGTGAAATTAAGAGTCTCTGCTCCCACTATCCCAAGCAAAGGAGGCTGCCACACTCAGGGAAAACTGGGACAGAGAATGAGATGACCCAGTCACCCATACCTATATTTTCAGACTTCAACATGGCAGATAATTTTCCAAAATAGGGGGTATACACCTTGAGAGGTAGAAACAATAACCACTGGTTCAGAGACAAAAGACTGTGATGTTGGACTGGCTCCAAGAGCCTTCCTGGATCCATTTTAACACCAGAGAATCAGAATAATTAAGGATGAATGAGGAAACGCATCAACGCCCACTTGCTCCAGTGGTGCAGTGCTGGGGAGGCCGCATGAGCCTGGCAGCCCTGTGCAGCTGGGCAGCAGTTCACGTATATCCAGGCACTCCCACCCAGAGAGGCAGGAGGGAAATGAGGGCATGACCGCTGAGGTCACCACTCCCACAGATCAGTCCACAGGACTGGCACCCAACTCAGGTCCAGCATCCCTTATCACCACCGGTCACCAAATACTTCCACAACCTATAAAATCCTCTCCCCTTCCACTGCACCCTAAACCCACTGTAGAAAAGACTTCCTGGATACCGTAGGTCACCTCCTTTACCCTGTCCATATGCTTTCTCTGGAATCATCAGTCCTCACCAGTTCTCACCATCATACATTATCTGATGGACACCAAGTCTCAGCATCTTTTCTAAGCCTCTCAGCTTCCTCCAGTAACAAACATCACTGCCCTGACCTATTACAGAAAGAAGACATTTTGTATAATGGACTCAACCAAAGAAACTCACCTGTATGAAGCCAAATTAATAAATTCAAGGGTATAATAACAGAAGCTCCTGGAGAAGCTCATGCTTAACTGCTAATTTTTAACCACAGATCAATAGTTTTCAAAACGTTTCATGTAGCCCTAGATTTGAAGAAAGATGCTTCCATGGATAGTGGAGATCAGGCCAAAGGGCTCTGGATCAGCCATTCCCAATGAACACATGCGTACTTATGCACATAGGCCTGCGTGCTTGCACACGTGCACACACACACACATAAAAAAGGAAATATGACCTAATATGTCTGAACTTAAAATTTTAAGGCATTGAGCAAATGTGAAGAATCCGACGGCAAAAATAATACTACAAGCAGAAAAAAAAGTTACAAAATAGGCATTTTGAATGAAAACATTCAAAAATGAAACAAAACCAGAGAGACAGCTAGAAAGCACCTCAGTAGTAGGAAAACACAAGGAAAGAAAAAATGAATTAAAACTAACTCATTGAAGTTGTAGCAATAGAAGCTGATAAAATCAAAAGCCCAAATAAATCCTCTTTAGTCTGCACCCATCATCCTGCAAGTCTCAGTTAAGCACTGTCTCCTGGCAGGGGCCGTCAGACCCCAGTCTCCCAATTTTTCCCCCAGGGCATCTTTCTCTTCCTTAAAACATAGTCACAGTTTATTTTTTAACTTGCCACAGTGTTCATTGTAAACGTCTCCACGGCGTGAGCTCCCCGAGGAAAGGGGCCCTGGCTGTTTTGGTCAGCCCTGCATTCCCGGGGAGTATGCAGGCCATGGCAGCCACTACAGAAACAGATGAATGGAGTCGGGCCTAAGGCCTTGGGTGGATGGGAAGTGGACACATTGGGTGCAGGTGGACAGCGGTCCACGCACATTCACCCACACCTGCCCAGCAAGGCAGGAGGGAAACCAGGGCACGGCCACTGAGGTCCCCACTCCCACAGACCATCAGTCCACAGGACTGGCACCCAACTCAGGTCCAGCATCCCTTATCACCACCAGTCACCAAATACCTCTGCAATGTATAAAATAGTTTGAAAAAATGAATTAAAAACAACTCATTGAATTAATGAATTAAAAACAACACACTGGGCAGGGCACGGTGGCTCATGCCTGTAATCCAGCACTTTGGGAGGCTGAGGCGGGTGGATCACCTGAGGTCAGGAGTTCGAGACCAGCCTGGCCAACATGGTGAAACCCCATCTCTAATAAAAATACAAAAATTAGCCAGGCGTGGTGGCGCGTGCCTGTAATCCCAGCTACTCAGGAGGCTGAGGCAGGAGAATCACTTGAACCTGGGAGGCGGAGGTTGCAGTGAGCCAAGATTGCGCCACTGCACTCCAGCCTGGGTGACAGAGTGAGACTCTGTCTCAAAAAATAAAAACAAAAAAAACACACTGGGTAGACAAGAAGTGGAGGTCTGTGTTCTGAGAGGCAAGACCAGCCCCAGAGCTGACTCCACAGAAGTCAATGGGCCTCACAGGGCATTCCGTTTCATCCCCTTTTTTAATGGTCATTCATTCCCTTACCTCAGTTGTGGTTTGTTTGTTTGTTTTTAACAGAGTAAAAATTTCTTTCTTTGTTCCTGAGAAAGCTCCTCACTGTGTCATGGCTGCCCAGGAAATCTTGGAATTTGCCTTCCAAGGCTAATTCTTCAGGGAACAACTCCTCCTTTTTCTACCTCCCACCTGGTTTCTGGCATCGTAGCTTTTTCATCATTCTTCCAAACATCAGAACTTCACTTTCTCTAATTCCACATAAGGAGAAATGTCGATAAGTTTCTTATACTAAGTAATCATAGAGTTACTCTTGGGCGTGAGGCACAGTTGTTTGATTTATCTCCAACATGTATTGACACAACCCCATGTAGGCAGTCAGCAGGCAGATGCCTGAACGCTGTAGCCATTTATAACAGACAGGGCCGCAAATGAGTGTGTAAGCACTGTAGGCCCAGCCACAGACTAACCCAGCACCCTCCACTCCCTCCTGTGTGCCTTGCATCCTTTTCAATAGTCATTACCCCTGACATTTTATAACTATTTATCTGTTCATTATCTCTACCTCAACTAGAAAATGTAAAATCTATTAGAGTGCAAACATTCTTTTCACTGTTATATGAAGAGCACTATGCATAAATGTGTTAAAGTAGGAATAGAAATTAAGCATTGAGAAAAACACCAGAGTCTTCTCTTATGAAGTGATCATCTAGCAGGCAAGGCAGACAAGTAATTAAATAATTATTTGTGTGCTCATAATTGGGATAATTATCTTGATTTCTCCTTTGGAAGCAATGTGTTCAAATGAACAGCTATTTAAATGTCTAGCAGTATGTTTCATTTTATTTAAGAGATAATTGTGTAATGACTGTCAGAAATTGCACTTTGCAGAGAAAGAATACCCTGCAGGCCCTGACAGACTATTACCCTGAAATAGTACATAAAATAGAATTAATATTATAATATTTGTCATCTAAAAGCAAATTATAGAGGGAGAATGCAGGAGAAACATTTACCAATGGTGGAGAGACCTGCTTTTAAAATGTGTAACTGTTAGAAAAGAGACAGAAGTAGACAGATTTGAAAAAGGTCAGTGATCTGGGGTCACTGAGAACAAGAATAACTAATCTACATGTCTCCATAGCTTCGGAGAGCACCAGGTGTTCAACAAGTCTTAATGTCCTAAGGAAGATCTTGAATCTTCAAGACTGGTTGAAGTTCAATATATTTTGTATAATACTTCTTCCCTTGTGAGAACTTTTCTATTCCAAATTACAGGTAGACATTTAGATGTGTAAAGACTTTGGTCATTATTTTTACTTACCAGGTGCCAATACATTTATTCCTAATAATCTGCTATAAATGAGGAGGTCAGGAAAACCTAAACAAGATAACCATAGGAGGACATCTAGTATGCAAATCAAAGCTCTGAGCCCATCTAGTCTAAAGAGCAGAACTCTCCTTCAGTAACTGGTAGGAGAGCTGGATGTCAGAAGGGAGGTCAGGGCATTAGCCAAGTCACGCTTCCTCACCTTTGGACGCCTACAGAAAAAGTGATTCAGGAATAGACAAATTACCACATTTGTTTTTCTTCCAGACATATATATTCTGGTTTGTCTCTTTCCAAAGACTCCTCAGGCACAGATTATCAGCTACTATTGATCCTACAATCCCCACTATTAATGTGAAACCACATCCACTCTCTGGCTAAGCAATCTCAGTGCTTGGACTTTTTGTCTTTTCCTAAAAGTATGTCCTCACTGATCATTCTTTTCTTCCACCATCAATCATTCATCACTTTCTCCCACTTTTCTTTCTCTAACCATTCTTATTTCTCCCTGCTTTATTATCTACTGCTTTATTTTCTTGCATAATGAGAATTCTATTCAATTTGCCAAACCACCACATGCTTAGACGTTTATGAATTCTCACGCACATATATTGTATAACCTGACTTCCAAAGGAAATTACAGGAGGCCCCCCTGCAAGTCTCCTCATTGGTCTTTCTTTCTCCAGCAGAGAGGTTAAGAACAGAAGTTTCCAATCAGAAGGCCTGGGTTAAACCCCTAACTCCTGCTCACCAGTTATATCATCTTGGTCAAAATATTAAACTCTCTAGATCTCAGTTTTCTCATGTATAAGGATAATAATACCTACTTATTAAATTATAGTGAAGATTTTCGAAGATGATGCACTTATGAACTTAGCACAAGGCTTGGCACAGCTTCCATTCAAGCGCTTACCACTTACAACAACCCCATCGCCTCTGGTTTCATGTTCCCTTCCCAAGACTTGGGTTAAGCTCCCACTGATGACGCTCAGTGCAGACACTTGGCTCTTCACATCCAGGTTCCTTCCCTCTCTGGGTTAAGAAAGGAGTAACCCATCCATGGGCTTCAAACCTAGATAAACATAAGACTTACCTGTAAAGATATGCAGATACTGAAGCTTCACTCCAGACTGATAGAGTCACAGTCTTTAAGAACAGTGATGTGCAACCAGGACACAGAAAGACGGGTTCACATTAGCTCCAACTTCCCAGGAGTCTGTGACAACCAGGACACAGAAAGACAGATTTACATTAGCTCCAACTTCCCATGAGTCTGTGATTCTAGATTCACTCTGTTTCCTTCTGATTATCTGAAATCCAATCATTTCATGCTCAACAATGTGAAAGCCAAGGCCATGTACAAAAAAATGATTACATTCTGCCTAGTGAACTTGCATATAATTCTCGAGAATATTTCCTGGACTGGAAATAAAACACTTGGACAGAAAAGTGGGTTTTTAACTCCGTTAAAAGGGGGGAAACGAAACTGCTTGTGAAGACTGTTACAAATTCCCAAACTCTCCTTCCAAGACCCCACAGAGGAAACTTAGAAAAGCAAGTTCTTACTTATTAAACAGCTTTCTGTAATAATTGTATAACATTTGTCTCATGCAAAAAGACACTGCAAAGATAGCTAAGTTATTTGTGGTTCCTTCTGTGTGGGATGAATATAGATACCTATAAATCTTCTAGACATGACCAGACAGCATCAATAAACTTGATTGATGGCCCAGCACTAACATAATTAAGAAGAATTAATCCTACAGACTCTGCAATGATAGGTGAGTTGTCCAGAAGAGCCTTGTCAGCACTTCAAATATTTCTCAACTGACAAAGATTGGACATTTGGGAAAAGCAAATATATGTAGTCAGACACAATCTGACAAGATCTACTAAGATGAATCAACCTCCCAACTATGGGGAAAAAAAAAAAGAAAAGGTATGTTAGGAAAGCAGACAGTAAGCAAAGTTTTATCTCTCAGACTCTAGAAGTCAGAGAAAGGTTAACTTCACAGATGTAGCTGATAAGAAAATGACCTAGAGTGATTTTACTACAGGACAGGAACATAGTCTATAGCAGAGCCACTCAAAGTGTGGCTTGCTGACTGGTGCCAGTCTGCAAACCGTCCCAGTTCACAAGCCATTAGTGGTGGAGCTTAAGTCAATGCCATTAAGCACACATTCAGTTTCGCCTTCTTTTTGTTCATAGCAAGACTCAATGAAGGAAGCATTGTGTTGCTTTAAATTTTGATGCAAGCTCTTAATCTTATCGAGGACTTGTAACAATCTACAGTCATCTAGAGTAGCACCCATCTAGAGTAGCCTCTTGGCTCTGATAACTTCACCGCTGCAGTGGGTGCCACCCAGATTCCTCTTTGGGAACGAGGTGCTCATTCCTCCAGCTGGACGTATCACAGCTCCAGGAGTTATTCTGGACCAGAGGGAGATGACCCACCTAAGGCCATTCCTTCTTCTTGGAGAGAGCTTGCACCCAATGATGGGTTGATGCAGGGGTACAAAGACCTGTCCTCATGCCTCAATGTGGACAGTTCTTAAGAGTCAACCTGAGGCCTCTGCTGCGATTTCTTCTTCCACCAAATCCTGTTCCCTTCACAACTCACAGGTATTGTTCACAAAAGACCATCACCTCCCCTCAATGAACTTCCTTAATGCAAATCTCAGCATCTATGTTCCAAGGGACTCAATCTGTGACATTCTGCTATTCACAGAAACATTATGAAGGACTTCCCATGATCTGAAGATAAAGCAGAAATAGCATGAAGGCCTTTGAGGTCCTCTGTGATATTGCTAAGCCCATCTTTCTAAATTCATCTCCCAGCATGGGCCCTACCCTGGGCACTGCTCTTCTCATCTCCTGACATGGGACCCGCCCCACTCACTTCTCTTCTCATCTCCCAGCTTGGGCCCCCACCCATTGCTCTTCTCATCTCCCCGCATGGGCCCTGCCCCACCCATTGCTCTTCTCATCTTCCAGCATGAGCTGCCCCCCAACCTAACAGTATTTCAGTTCATCAAGGTATTAACCTAATTTTGGTTAATTTTTTTAAATCCAGGAATAAACGCTCTTTTATATTCCACCACTTAAATTATTATACAGATCATCTTGAACAGTATTCATTTTTTTCCAAAAATATATGAGATACCCCTGTGCATGGGAGGCAAACCCCGTGCTTTGCACAATTTCTCTCTCCCTCACCCCTCCTATATACATGTGGGTCACTCTGTATCTCTCTCAGTCTCTCTCTCTGTGCCCGCATCTGTGTGTATCTCTGTCTCTCTCTTCACTCTTGAGACAGAGAGAGGGAGACTGTGTAGCTTTGCTCTATCAGCCTGCTCTTATATCCTTTGGAGATAAGCACCTTGCTTCCAGATTGTGCCCCACTGAAAGGTAAACACTTCAGAAGGATTACCATGAAGGCATTTCTGTTTGCTTAGAGGATTGATGTATGGATCATAATCTGTAGTGGAAGAATAAGGCATAGTCATAGATCCAAAATATAGGCACTCTCTAGCCAGAAGAAACCTGCATAGTGAGCTCTAGGCAGCCAAAAACAGAGAGTGAAGGACAGAAAAACGGTATACACTGGCCAGATTCCAGAAGTGCCTGCTAGGTGGGTATTTAGCTCCTCCTGGATAGAGGTGAGCATGGTGGGGGAACCAATCAGGAAACTGGTCGGGAAGGACAATGGAGAGGCTATAGTTGGGGAGATTAAAATCAAGTTTATCCTACTTGGGCTAGGATATCTGTTGGCTTTTACCTACATATATGTGTGTGTGTGTGTAAAAGAGAGAGTGTGTGTGTGTGTGTGTATGCCTGTGCATATACATCTACATATATAAGGTGTATGAATGTATTTAGGCAAGCACATCTGCACGTCAATGTCATCAGACTTGTGACCTTCCAGCTTCCTCTTCTGCAGTAGGGTATGCTTTCTTTGAGGTCTAGGAACTGTCTTAGAGAGAAGACTGCCAGCCAGGGTTAACAGTCTTCTGTTACCCATCTTTAAGCCAATAAATAAAGATGAATGCCTAACTAGAGGCATCTAGAGAACTCACCAATTAAGCACCCTGCAAATTTTCTCAGTTCCCTGGATACAATTTTCCTGGGTCAGCAGATACCCTCACCTAAATCAGGTTGGACATTTCTTACTGACTCTCACCCATCTCATTCTTCAGTTGCTTCTCTCCAGTGTTTGCTTTACTCTTCCCAGCTTGAAGGAGACAGCAGCAAAGACCTCAAAGTCCATTTTGTCCTGTGCCATCTGTCACCATCTGCCCCTTTCTTGTTCCTCATCTTGCTCCAAACACAGATTTTCTTTAAAAGCCTTTTTGATATCTTAAGCATTTTTCATAGTCACTTTTGCCCTTACTGACACATTTAAAAAAAAAAATTCAAGGCACGCTTTCAGACTCATTCTGCATTTGTGGCCCTTCCCTGACTCTTGAACATGTGTTATTAAAATTAAAATTCAATTCTTATTGCATCAAAAAGGACCCATGTAATTTCATTAAATATGTTCCCCCTCTTCTTACTTTTTTTTTTTTTTTTTTTTTTTTTTTTTGGAGACAGACTCTCACTCTGTCGCCCGGGCTGGAGTGCCGTGGTACAATCTTGGCTCACTCCAACCTCCACCTCCCAGGTTCAAGTGATTCTCCTGCCTCAGCCTCCCGAGTGGATGGGACTACAGGCACACGCCACCACAACTGGCTAATTTTTGTATTTTTAGTAGAGATGGGGTTTCACTATGTTGGCCAGGCTGGTCTCAAACTCCTGACTTCAGATGATCCACCCGCCTCAGCCTCCCAAAATGCTGGGATTACAGGTGTGAGCCACTGCACCCAGCGCCCTTTTCTTACTTTTTAAGATCAATGATATTACTTTCAGTGGCAAAAACTGCAATTACTTTTGTACCAACCTAATCAGAACTACCATTTCTTCATCATCAACATGTTATCTGAACACTACATGTGCTCTCTCTAATTCTTATAAGAAGTGGTATTCCCACTTTATTCCTACTACAGAACAGAAAGCTGGAAGGTCACAGAGCTTGGGTTTAAGATGAAAAGAGACGCCAAAGCACATACTCAGTGTTATGCCACGTTCCCTCTCATAATTATACTGTCAGGGTTTCAAGCTTCCTCTTGAGACACACATTATTGTTCAGTCTCTGACTCAGCTCACGCGGATCCCTTCCTCAGGCCTGAAGTCGGCTTTCCTAAGCTTTTCCTAAGGTGGATGTCTGGCAATGCCCTGTCTTGGCCTTTATGAATTTCACAAGACACAGGCACCTTCCCCCAGGTTCTCTCTGCTCTCAGTGAGCTCATTATTTGTTCTCAAAATAACATTTCTTCTCATTGTCCTCTCTGCTTCGTGGGAAATGGAAATTATAGCAAACTAAACCAGGAATCAAGCAATTTCACATCACAACCACGGTGAGCAATTTTGTATTAGGGGCATGGACCGAAATTTGCCTGGCAAGGAAAGTCCTGACAGCCCTAGGCAAGGCTTTCAGAGGTCATTTACTCTTTCTCCCTGGAGGGCACTTGAAGCAGAGGCTGAGGATTGTCTACCCGACTGCATCCTGCCCTCCTTCCCTACCTCTCCACCTTCACACACACTCCATGCAGCAGCCCTCACTCCAGTCCTCAGTGACTGCTACTGGGCTACAGGTGGAGGCATGACCCAAGGTGCCCGATCAGACTGAAGTGGAGTCTTTCTATACTGTGATTGGTGGGAAGTCTCTCAGGCTCACACTCTAAATATCCTCCCTCGACCTCCACTTGCTGTGTAGAAAAACAGAGACAGGTAGCCGCAAATATCGCCAGCTCCCATCGTGTTATCTGGTGACCATAGGCTATACTGTGGACATCTGAAAAGAAGCCTGGGCCTTTTTGGCATCATCTTCAACCCTGGGGACTACTCTTGCTCTGACCTCGAGTGTTTAAGAAAATAAATTCCCTATTGCTCAAGCCAATGTGAGTTGGAGATTTTTTTGTGACTTACAGTCAAGGTTACTCTGGCTGACGGTCTTCTCACCAACAGAGTTCCTAGACCTCAAGGAAAGCATACCCTACTCTTAGGATGAAATACTTGCACCTCTTCTTGGAGAGTACAACCTACAATTCAGGGAGAGAACATGCTAATTGTGGCGAACAACTAATGCTGGTGCTTCTTAACCTTTTCCACCAGGATACCACCAGTCAGAGGAGAGTGGTTAGAGATGATGGTGTCCTGGAGCCAGAGGCAGCTCACTACCATCACAAATTTTCCTTGAAGCTTCATATTTTAATGTAAAAAGTCATGAATAAGTTATAGTCTACTCCATGGTCATTAATAGAAAAGGACGAATTTTTCCAAACCTTTGTGGAAACTTGGTCCTCCAAGAAGCGGTTTTGCAAACCCTTCTAGCATACTGTCACGTACCCAGGGGTCCTGGCACCTCAGCTAGAGAATCACAAACTAGACAGAAGTCAAGACCAGGGTTGAGCCCACCGGGTCAAAACTCTTGGGGCTTTATCCTTACTTCACACCACAGCCACATGAACAGCTGTGCAACCGTTATGTTTCCAACCATTAGAATTCATAGTGTGCTTCATACTGCAAAACAGTGTTTTCAAATATACTACTTTATTTTCACTATAAAATCTGTGATACATGTAACTATTATTCCCATTTTACAGGAAAAAAAAAACTGAAGACCTGTCCAACTGTCTTATTTAAGATCACAGGACTTAGAGCCAAGTCTCAAATATGGAATTCCTTACTTTAGAATCTATGCTTTTTCTACTAGATGATGCTGCCTGTCAACATTTTTGAGCTGTAAGTTGGCAATATTCCCAACTGAGGAAACGGGGACTCAGGAAATGTGTCATAATTTGCTCAAGAGTTCAAGGTTGGTAAATAGTGAGCTCAACTTTCAAACCCAGGTCTACCTCATTTAAAACCTTATGCTGAATCCACTGCACTTAGGGGCCCAGTCTATTCAAAATAAGGCAAGTGGGTATTGCATGCCAGCCACCATTTTAACTCTTTGTTTATCACTAACTATGTGAATTATTGTAATCATCATCCCCATTTTACAAAAGGGAAACAGAGATGCAATGCAACTGAATATGTGCCCAAAGTGATGTGACTAGTAAGTGGCAGTGATAAGATTTAAACCCAGGCATTCTGGCTCCAACGTCAGTGTTCTCAGCCACTACATTTGTTGCCTCTATGGCAGAGAAGGCAGAACATGTGTGTCCTGACAACCAGCTCAAGGCAGGCATTGCATAAAAATGCCTGTTCTCCAGCACTTAGAACAGGTGGGTGGGTGGATGGGTAGATGGATGGGTAAATAGGTAGATGGGTGGAGGTGGAGATGGGTGGGAGGATTGGTGGATAGGTAAATGGGCAGATGGACAGGTGGGTGGATGGATGGATGAGTGGGTGGAAAGGTGAAAGGGTGGATGGGTGGATAGGTGAGTAGATGGATGGATGGGAAAATGGATGGTTGGATTTGTAGATGGATAGACACATAAATGAATGGATGGGTAATGACTAGATAGATGGGTAGATGGGTATATGGGTGGATAGATGGGAAGATGAATGAGTGGATGGGTGAGTGAATGGAAAGCTAAAATGGATAAGGCACATAGAAAGAGAGACAACGGAACAAGCTGCATAGAGCCTTGGTGTTTTAAGTGGAATATCATATACAGAATCACCTGGGACTTGTATCTGGTATATAATACACACATAGTCCGTAAATAAATACTGGCTAAATATATAAACCAACACAACAATAATCCTATAAAATAAGTATGAATAAGCCCACTTTCTAAGGTGCAGAAACTGAGGCTCATTCAAGCTAAATAACATGCTCAAAATCACACAGCTAATAAGTTATTAGAGTCTGGGTTCAGATATGAATCTGACAGCAAAACCCCATGCTGTGCTATCTCCCACAGGTAGACAACATCAGATGACAACACTGAAGCTGCCTCGGCTCTCTGATGGGCTCATTATACACCAGCCTCTCAATAGCATTCCATGTGTATAAGTGTGAGAGTGGAGGCAATGTGGGCAAGGTGGGGAGAGAGTTTGTCTTTTACTGAGATTTCACTTGCCTTATGGTTAAAAAAATCATCCATTTAAGGATTATTTCCCTTTTGCCCCATCAAATCATTGCAGAAACAAAGATTATTCTTGCAATCGTAAGCTTTCATTGTTGGAGGTTTTGAATTAATAAGATACAATTGTCTGATCCATGCTTTTTAGACAGCTTTCTACAGCTGCATTCTTAACCACAGCATTAGTCACCAGGAGCATCACTGAAGCTCACCTGTCATTCTTCTGTGACCCGACAAGCTCCCACATGTTGAAAGTGCCATCCCCCAAGGGGAAACAATCTTCTTCCTTCCGGAGATATAGCAAAGCTCTTCCCAGCATACCTCCTACAAACACCTGTCTTCTCCATAAGGTGAGAGTCCCTGCAATCCTGTGGGGGAAATCAGAGAACGAGGTGTGGGCTGCAAAGGAATCATGGGATTTTAAGAGCCAAAAAAGACCTGAGAGATCACTGACCGCCCTCACATTATGAGGGGAGACAGAAGCAGATCAGCAGAAAAGCATCATCCTCAAGGCCTCAGCCTCAGGTGAGAACTTTACATGGTCTCCAGGTAATGGTAGGCTGATACCCTCTGGGAGAGGGGGCTGCACTGCTTCTTCCTGCATGGAGGCTTTGAGGGACCTGGGAATTCCACATTCTCAGGAGCATCCTTTCAGCACCTCTATCCCAGATCTTAGCAGAGGAAACTTGTCAAAGCAAAGGAATCAAGATCCTTGGCAATCGTGCCATATTATGATTAAATCTGCGACCTGATTTTCTCCACAGCTTTCCCTCTAGCTGCAGATGAGGGTCTCCTGAAATGCTGCCATGAAAACCTTCGGGCCACCACAGAACACACCGAGTTGATGCTTGGATGACCTGCACCTCTCATTCTATTTCTTCAAGGTGTGGATCCCACTTTACCTCCCTGGTAGTTACCATCACCCCATTCCTTTTTTTTTTTTTTTTTTTTTTTGAGACAGAGTCTCGCTTTGTCACCGAGGCTGGAAGGCAGTGGCGCAATCTTGGCTCACGGCAACCTCTGCCTCCCAAGTTCAAGTGATACTCCTGCCTCAGCCTCCCAAGTAGCTGGGATTACAGGCGCGCACCACCATGCCTGGCTAATTTTTGTATTTTTAGTAGAGATGGGGTTTCACCATGTTGGCCAGGCTGATCTCGAACTCCTGACCTCAAGTGATCTGCCTGCCTCGGCTTCCCAAAGTGCTGCGATTACAGGCATGAGCCACCATGCTCATTCCTTTTAATTGCTAGAGTTGTTGCATAAATCAATGTCCTCACTTTCACATAGACCTCATCCCAATCTGCCCCAGTTGAAAGTCTTGATTATCGTAATGCTGCCATAGGTCAGGGCTGATAACCAGCCCACTGATTTCCAGTGACAGGATTCTTATATTCATATAGCCATGAAGCAATCCAATTTCAGAATCCTATCTTGAAGGTCTGCTTCATAGGGTCACTTCCAAGATAAATTGTGTTAATCTGATTCCCCAGAAAGTGGACTCTGATTCAACGAATTTTTCACAGAGAGTTTACTTTGGGTGGTGATGTCAAGAAACGAAAAGTGATTCGTGGAATAAAATTCAAGTTATTAATCTACCATAGACAACTGGAGCTCAAACCCAATGGGAATCATCTAGGAACCATGTAGAATTGCTCTATCACAGGATGGAGAGGTCGGTTATTTATCCACTAACTCCCACCCACCGTTGGCTGAGCATTCCCCGGAGGCATTGACTTCGTTATACTTTGGGTTGTACGTGTGCATAGTTGAAGCAGCCTTGAGTAGCCTCTGAGAAAGCTGATGAGCAAAGATCAGCTGTGTCGTTTGCAGTTTGTGTAATGCTGGCAGCGGGGCGTGGAGCTGTCCACGTAGCAGTGCTGAAATCAGGTCCAGGGACCATGGTACAGAGCATCACAAGCATCAGCTACCACACCTAGGAAGACATGTGAGTGCCAGAGAGTGCGAGATAAACCCCAGAAAGTTCAGAGGCCTGCTATGTGGTTGCACTTTCTAGCAGCACTGTCCAATAGAACTTTCTGCACTGATAGAAATGTCCTGTGGATAGGCTATCCCACACAGTAGCCTCTGGCCACACATGACCCTTGAGGGTCTCTAACATGTGGCTAGTGTGATGAGGGAACTAAATTTTTATTTTATTTATATTTTAATAATCCTATTTGGTGAATGATTACTGTACCAAACAATACAGTTCTAGAGTACCAATAATCTGAAGCATGTCAGGATATCCCTTCTAGGATAAGAGACAAGTTACTACACCTTGCACTGCTCATGTAAAGAGAGATGCATGGTGCTTGGTGAATTTCTTGGCATTTGGTAGCAACACATTCACCTTGGGGAATTCTATTCCTATCTGTGTAAGGAGTAACAGGTAATAAGGCTTCCAGCTTTAGGGCCTAGAGCAATAAAAGTCACTGCAGTAGATTCCAGCTGCAGTCCAAGCTGCCTCACTATTGACACTTATGACCAAGCAGAATGAATTATATTGGATGTGTCTGCAGCAGAAAGAGATGATAGATGGGCCTCTGGCCACCCTTATTAGTAGAAGCCTGAGGTCCTGGAGAGAGGCTATGTGTCCTCTGGCAACAACTATTCTCCGTGAAAAGGCATTCATGACCTGTTTTAGTCTGAGCACCTGATAATGGGAGGTCAGATGACTGAGTATCTCAAACTGCTACTTCTACCTGCACCATGGACAGTCAATGGCAGAACTGCATGAACTAGATATTTTCCCATCCACCAAACCATAAAGTTGTACATGCACAGGAGCACTTCGATAACAGAATGCTTCACCCATCACCATAATACCCAACACAGTATGGCCACAGTCCATGCTATACATGATGTGGCAATGAGAGGGCTGCCGAGTCTTGTACCCATGAAATTTACTGATCTTCTGACTGCCTAGCCCCCAGCAGCAGCTAGTGATGTGAGAAGGCCTAAGGAGGGCCTGTTATGGGTCAGCTAGAAGCTACACCCTGCAAGGCTAGGTGCTTCCTACTGGATTCAGTCTGTGGTTTGCCTGTGACCAATAAGTGATGCCTTCTCCCCCATAATCAGAAGTTTGTGAACAAATGAGTAGAACTGGGAGGACCCTCCCACCATAATACCAAATAACCCATGGGGATAATTTGTGCTTTCAGAACCACTCCCACCTCTAAACTTAGGCTGAGGGTCTGAGCTGCTCAAGAGAGGAATGCTGCCAGCAGAGAACATCCTCATGGATGGGATGAGCCAAAATCTGAGATAGTCCCCTGGTCATTTGGGGAGCTTAATGCTATTGAACCAACAGGAAGAGAAAGAGATCACAGAATTGGTCAGGATGGTTGATCCCAATTATCTAAAGGAACTTGGGTTGCTGCTACACAACTGGGCAAGGAAGACCAGATGTGGATCCTTCGGAGCTCACTGGGATGCTCTCAGTTCTCCCCTTTCCAGCAGCTCTTGTAAATGGCAACATGCATCACCTGACAAAGACAAGACTACCAATCATTAAATTCTATAGGAATCAAAGTTTGGGTCACCCCATTATGTGAAGAACCGTGTCCATCTGAAGTGTTAGTGGAGATTAAGAAGAATGTGAACTGGGTGGTAGGAGAAGTCAGCCACAATTATTAACATCAGTCTTTTTGTTCGTGTTTTTAAACAGTAGCTCTATCCTCCAGGCTGGAGTGCAGTGGTGCCATCTCAGCTCATTGCAACCTCTGCCTCCTGGGTTCAAGCGATTCTCATGCCTCAGCCTCCTGAGTAGCTGGGATTACAGGAGCCCACTACCATGCCTGGCTAATTTTTGTATTTTTAGTAGGGACGGGGTTTTGCCATGTTGGCCAGGCTGGTCTCAAACTCCTGACCTCAGGTAATCCATCCACCTCAGCCTTCCAAAAGTGCTGGAATTACAGGTTTAAGCCACCATGCTCGGCCAACATCAGCCTTTTAACCAGCTACAGAAAGGAAGCTTTGCAAGCTATATTTTAGATACATTAATCTTTCTTTCCCCTGGCCTTTTCTAATGCAACATTCCATGAAAACCCTGGTGGCAGCATATGTATGCATTAGGCAGGAGTGATGGAATGTGACACTCCATGAGGGCATGGCAGTCAGTTCACATTTGTGTGTCCCCATGTCCATATTGGAGACACGAAGTTTTCACCTGGATAAAAATGAGAGTGGGGCCTGGCACACGCCTATAATCCCAGCACTTTGGGAGGCCAAGGCAGGCAGATCACGAGGGCAGGAGATAGAGACCATCCTTGCTAACATGGTGAAACCCTGTCTCTACTAAAAATACAAAAAAAAAAAAAAGTTAGCCAGGTATGGTGGCACATCCCTGTAATCCCAGCTACTCGGGAGGCTGAGGCAGGACCATCACTTGAACCTGGGAGGCAGAGATTGCAGTCAGCCGAGATGTGCTACTGCACTCCAGCCTGGGCGACAGGGCGAGACTCCATCTAAAAACAAACAAACAAACAAACAAACAAACAGAAAAAAAAAATCAGAGTAGATGCTATACGGCAAAATGGGTGAAGAGCTTCTCTTTGCCCCTCCACATCCACTCCCCACTGACCTCCATATGCCTATGCCCCAGGATGCTGACCTTTGTAGAAAGTCCCCTGATTGCAGTTTTGATGTGGCCAGTGGGTATCACTGTCGGATTGGAGAGAACAGAGAGAGTGATGGGGGTACTTCTTGCCTCAGCTTCCCCTCTCCTGGGTCACCATGGACTTGCCATATCTCTCTATCAAAGACCACAGCCTTTGTCAGTGTCCCTCTACACACAGCTATGTTCTCTGGATTCAGCTGCCCAATCTCCTTGAAGGTCCAGGAGTAGTAATGGGCCCATAGCTGCTAATCCCAGGGTCCCACTACCCCTTCTAGGCTTCCTAAAACCTGCCTGGGCCTCCTACATATAGTCTCTCGCTGAATTCCCCTCCCTTTCCCAGTATGAATTTGCCCTCTGTTTCCTGCCAGGATCTGACCAATATGCCTCTGTAATTTACGTTTTTATGTAATTCATTTGCAAACTTCACAATCTCATAACAAAATATTTGTTCTATATCTTACAATTGAGAGACTCACTTAGTGGTTGAAAACCATCTTCATGTCTAATAAAGTTGGCCACTGTGCCAGGCACTGGACCAGCCCCTAGGGACATAAAAATGCATGGAGAAATCACTTCTCAAGAGGAGCCCACAGTCTGGTGGCAGAGAGTCACACCAGTCAGTTGCAGCAGTGCATAGGATGTGTTATGGTAGAAATGGCCCAGTTGTCCCTGGCAGCAGAGTGAAAGGGGCATCTACCCAGAGGAACATGGGAGGGTTGTGGAGAGCAGGTAAAAACTGAATAGCTTTAGAAAATGAGGGTCACAGAGCAGGAGCAAGAAAGCGGAGAATGGTAGATCACTGAAAGGCCAAAGGAAGGCGGAAGAGGAAGTGGGGGTGACATGAGAGCAGCGTGTCCTTCACAAAACACCCACATGATCCAGAGCTGGATGGACACGGTTTTGGAGCACAAAATCCATCCAGCTTCTCTGCTAAGTGAAATAACTAAAGGGTAGATGCATTAGCTAAGTCACCCACCATAAGTCTTTCATCAAACATCAAGCATGAGTAGGGAATATCCCCAAATGTACCTCTTAAATTAATACTCAACTTCTTGTGTCTTTCAAGCCTTGCTGGAAACTTTAATTCTTGTGCGTTTCAAATGAACCTGGAATATGAGAAATTGGTCACTAAGAGCAATTACATGGCTGCTCTTACGTGGTAAGGAATTGTCTTAAGAGTATTACATGGCTTTTCCCTGTGGAGTGTAATCTGTTGCTAGGCTGGGAAAATGGGCTGGGAACAGATAGATCAACAAGGTAATAATTCTCAGTGCAGCCCCCAAAACCACCTCAGTGGCCAAGGAGAGATAACATGCAAGGAATGTGTGATCATTCTCCAGGTGTCACAGGCTCAGGAGCAAAGATCGGGTGATGTATTCCCGGCAGGTGGGAATTTGGGTGCTGATTACGTGCAGCTGTGCCAGGCGAGAGTGCTGGCATTTGAGGGACAGTCACTTGTCAAGGGACCTGTTTAATCTCCTGTCAGCCCATTATCCTAGCTAAACAGTTTCAATCTGGCTTCACCACTCTGATTAAAACTGTTGACAAAGAAAGTATTGCTTTACAAGATCAAGCACGGCAAATAGTGTGTGTATCAATTGGTTTATTGTAGGGCAGATGGGAGTGTCCAGAATCAGAGAGACAAACCACATTTCCTCTCCAGGTGAGGACTCACAGGGCCAGGTCTGTGTCACATTGAGAGTCAAGCACTTCTACGTGCACCATGGAGAGTCAATGCCAGATCCATGTCACATTGAGAGTCAATGCCTCCTAAGCACCTCGATGTGCACCACTCCTGTGTTGCACATGCCCCTCTTTGAAAATGCTACATGATTTATAGATCTATAACATTTTTACTTAGTAATCATGTCTCTGGGTGTAGAGCACCTCATGGTTTCTGAGATCCTTCATCATACATTGTTTCACTCTATCTTCACAAAAAAGAGAGGCAATTGCAGTAGACACATTTGACTAATCAGGGAACAGAGGCTTAAAAAAGTAGTGACTTTTATGAGTTCAGATATCACCTTCCTTTCCCATTCCTCCTCCTCCTCATTCTCTTCCTCCTTCATCTTTTTTATGATCACTATCTTCACTATTATTTCCTTCTCTCTTTAATTAAATGGCTACCACATACAGATTGAGCACTCCAAATCTGAAAATCCAAAATCTGCAGTGCTCCAAAATCTGAATTTTTTTTTTTTTTTTTTTTGAGATGGAGTCTCACTCTGTCACCCAGGTGCAATCTTGGCTCACAGCGACCTCCGCCTCCTGGGTTCAAGTGATTCTCCTGCCTCAGCCTCCCCAGTAGCTGCGATTACAGGCACCTGCCACCATGCCTGGCTAATTTTTATATTTTTAGTAGAGACTGGGTTTCACCATATTGACCAGGCTGGTCTCAAACTCCCAACCTCAGGCGATCTGCCCGCCTTGGCCTCCCAAAGTGCTGGGATTACAGGCATGAGCCACCATGGCCAGCCCAAAATCTGAAACTTTTTGAGTGCTGACATGATGCTCAAAAGAAACGCTCATTGAAGCATCTCAGATTTTGGACTTTCAGATCGAAAGTCAGCATAATGCAAATATTCCAAAATCTGAAAAAGTCCAAAACACTTCCAATCCCATACATTTCAAATAAGGGATACTCAACCTGTACAATGTGTTGTATTGGACACATTATGGACATGGCTATTCCTTTTTTCAACATACTCAGGGGTGCATATTTTTATCTCTTTTCATATAAATGATGGAAGAGGCCATAAAAAATTAAATGCCTGTGATGGTTAATTTTCTGTGTCAACTTGACTGGGCTAAGGGATGTTCAGATAGCTGGTGAAACATGATTTCTGGAGCATCTGTGAGGGTGTTTGGGGAAGACATTAGCATTTGAATTGATAAACTGAGTAAAGAATATCTGCCCTCCCTAGTGCGGCTGGGGATCATCCAATCCTCTCAGGCCCTGAATAGGACAAAAAGGCAAGGAAGGGTGAATTCTCTCTCCCTCTCTTCTTGAGCTGGCACATCCTCCTTCTCCTGCCTCAGACCTTGGTGCTCCTGGTTCTGGAGCCTTGGACCCTGGACCAGCAGTCCCCTCCTCACCCCTAACCCCTGTCTCTCAGAACTTCAGACTCAAACTGAATTACATCGTCAGTTCTCCTGGTTCTGCAGCTCACAGATGTCAGATCAGCAGGTTGTGCGGCTTCTCGGCCTGTGTAATCACGTGTGCTGCTTCTCATAATAAACCTCCTCTTACACATCTGTATATATCCTGTTAACTCTGTTTCTCCAGAGAACCTTAACTAATGCCATGGTGGACCTAGCTAGTCACACACATATCTAGGAAAAGGAAGAATCATGGTTAGAATCTAGCTTTTGCTGATACCAAAGACCAAGCTAATGGTTTCCCTCACAAGACTAAAAACTGTCGTTTGTTTTTTTTAAAAAAAAAAGTTTATCTAAATGCACCATGTTTTCCCTCATACACTCTTATTTTTATAGTCATTATCATCATTGATCTCTCCCTACAGAGGTGGATTGAGGAGCTGTTTTTTTCTCCTCGTGAGGGCTGGGGAGACCAGGCACAGGTTTGACCAGCAGCAGCCACGTGGGAGTCAGGAGTGGATCTTGGTGTGTTCCCATGGAAAGCCCAGTGCTGGCCTCACCAGCTCCTATCTCAACTCTACTGCCTTTTCTCAAAGTGCAGATAAATGGAGAAGGGGAAGCAGAAGGAGGAGCTGGGAGATATACTGTTGGAGATACAACAAGAAACAAAACAGATGTGGTCCCTGCTCTTGGGGACAAACGGGTTCAGTGAAAGGGGCAGCAAATCATAAAAAGTACTTCTAAACAATTATTAAATTAAGAGAATCCAAAATTAACTTCAGAGGCCATTAATGAGATATTTGCAAAGTGAAATTTGTGCAAAGTGTAGGAGATGCGAAGTGAAATTTGCACAAAGAGGAGGAGATTTGCAAAGTGAAATGTGTGCAAAGAGTGCTTCATGGTTACATCACTTAAGAGATAAGCAGGTACAAGTGGAGTAGGTGGAACAGATCAGCAGACACATCTCACAGTCTAACCCAATACTACTCAATATCCACTGATTGCTATTTGTCCTCCAGAAGAAAGCTAGGGGAGTAAATCAACAACAGCCAAATGAGCTACAGCTGGCCCTAGAAACCCTGGGAAGAAGCAGATGCATCTTCAGCCATCACTCCCTCTGCCAGCTCCTCCTCCCCATGCCTGCAGTGGAGCCCTGTGCTCTCTCACTCCCCTCCTCCTTCACCATATCCAAACTTGTCCTCAGAAAAACATGACCACACAATGAGAAGATCACAGGACAAGAGCCAAAACTCTTGATGTCGCTCCCAGCTCTTCCAATTACCAGTTGGGTTCAGTCATTCAACCTCTCAGATCCTTAGTGGTTGTGGTCATTTTAATGTACTAATACTTTCCATATCTTCCTCACAGTTTATAGTGAGAATCAAACATGAATTTTTTCAAAAGTACATTCATAAAGTGCTGAGATAGCTTCCATGCAAATATTTGTAACAGTATCTGGCACACAGTAGACATGTCATACGTGATACAATGCTTTAATCAAGTGGGCCTTAAGTTCTTTTATGTCTCTCAAACACTAGAGTTGTATGACTTTAGGCATTTCCTTCCCTTAGTAACAATTAGATGGGAGAAATGAGCCCTTTGGGTGAGCTCAGCCTTCCTTGGTGGTAACAAGAGAAAGGGAAAGCACTCAAAGTAATGAACTGCCACCGTTTCCGATAACTTGTCAATTCATAAAGGCCAACATACCAGGAGGATGAGTTCTACCATCCTTGAGTCCTTGGAATCCTTCTATGCAGGAATGGCCACCATGTAGAACTGGTGACACGATGTTGACTTACAAACATTTAAATTACTTACACTGACTATAATAATAGCAGAAAAACAGGATCTGCATGCCCCCAAGAAGCTCCAAAATTGCAGCAGTTGCATAATCATTTTTGTTTGCAACACAAGACTCTACTTGAGCTGTGTTATTCATTTTCCAGTGTGCATACCTCTCCCAACTCCGCTCTGACTTTCCTCCAAAAAGAAACAAGGAGAGGTTTATTCCTTCCTTGATATTTCTCCTAAATGTCCACATAGGACCCATGAGATGGGCATTAACCCCTTCAATGAGCTTTAGGAGGGTCTCACTCTCTGTTGCTCATCATAAATTAATTTGTGGAGGATGCCCGATGACTGGAGTTGCCAGGTGAAAGCCTGCTCAGTTGAGTTACAAATGGAGATTCAGCTCCACATGGTCACATTCTTAGAAAGAAGTAGCAGAGCAGGGACTTAAGCCAAGGAAATATGGCCTTAGAATCCTTTCTTGGGTGAGGAGGGTGAGGAATGGGGAGTTGGTCAAAAGGCACAAAGTTTCAGTTAGGATAGGTAAGTTCTGGAGATCTATTGTACAGCTCATGACCATAGTTAATAATATTATATTGCATATACATGCTTATGTTGGGGCTAACCATCATAAGATGAAAATATTGTACCCAAAAATGCATTTAATACACCTAAACTACCAACGTCATAGCTTAGCCTAGCCTACCTTAAATGTACTCAAAACGCTTACATTAGCCTACAACTGGGCAAAGTCATCTAACACAAAGCCTTTTTTTTTTTTGAGATGGATTCTCGCTTTCTCTCCCAGGCTGGAGTACAGTGGTGCGACCTCGGCTCACTGCAAGCTCCGCCTCCCGGGTTCACGCCATTCTCCTGCCTCAGCCTCCCGAGTAGCTGGGACTACAGGCACCTGCCACCACATCTGGCTAATTTTTTGTATTTTTAGTAGAGACGGGGTTTCACCGTGTTAGCCAGGATGGTGTTGATCTCCTGACCTCGTGATCCACCCATCTTGGCCTCCCAAAGTTCTGGGATTACAGGCGTGAGCCACAGCGCCGGCCCACAAAGCCTATTTTGTAATAAAGTATTCAATATCTCATGTAATTTATTGATGTTCTGGAATGCGTATAGCTTTCACACCATTACAAAGCCAAAATATTGTTAAGTTCAAGACCATTGAGAGTGCTTCTTAAATCTCCTGACCACACACACAATTAGCATGTAAAGTGATTAATATGTTAATTGGCTTGGTTTAATCATTTCATTATATATATCAAAACATCATATTGTATACTGTAAATATATACAATTTTAATGTATTCATTACACCTTAATAAAGCTGAAAGGGGGAGGAGAAATATAAAACAAAATAAAAAGAAGATGTAATAACGCCTTGGATGAATTGCTGTCAGACTTTCCAAACCAGCCATTTCTTCTAACTTGTCATTAGTCAAGAAATGCCCTGTACTATGATTGTTTGTCAATATTATGCTAGTTTAAAGTAACAACATAAGAAACAAACAAATAAATCTTTTGGGGACTTAAACTTATTAGACAAATTAGATACAAGACAAAAGTATTTCTAAGGATAAAACTGTTAATTCATAATGTAATTGTAACTTGAAAATAAAATTCTTTTCATCAGTCATCCCTCTCCTCTCAGTCCCCCCGCAAAAAAGATTCTATCCTATTAACTTCAACACTATAACCAGAGGAGCAATACAGTTCCTGGTGGAAGGGAAGAGAAGATTTTTCACAAAGCATGACAGAGGTAAGAAAGTGGAGAGAACACCTCACCATCCATGACACTTGGCTGGGAAATGGCCCTGGATATTTTCAGGGATGAAAATGTCTGTTTCATTTTGTTGTATCTTTGAAGATAGAATGAAACTACCAGGAAAGCTGAGCCCTTGTCTGCTTTTGTTACTCCTCTTCTTGGGGGAAGTTTTTTCCTTTTGAGGAAAGTCACTATAAAGACATCAGATGAAGACAATGGCTTTTCTCTGCAGTCAGAGTCACCCAGAGTTTCCACACATACTAAGACTCTATCCTTTTACGAGAGGCGGTAGATGAAAAGGAGAAGGCGGGGAAAGCAGGGGCTTTGTGTAGACAGATCTAGCATAGCATCACGGCTCTTCCTTTCTGAGTTATTTGACCTTGAGCCTCCTTTTCTTTGCTTGTAAAGGAAGGCAAATTCTATCCACCTTGCAGTGTTGTCGTGAGAATCAAATGAGAAAACATATGCAAAGCACAATGCCTAGCAAATGGTGGGCATTCAGGTAATACGATTTTCCCTTTCCATTTTGTCATGTTTTCCTTCTTCTTGTCTGCCTTTCTTCCATACACTTCTGCTCTCTCTTTCACCTTTGTTCAGCCTTGCCTCTCAGATCCTTCATGCATCAAATGTTCTTCCTTCCTGCTCCTTGTATTCATGTCTCCTGATGACAGTCCTTCATCCAGCCAGGTAACCTTCTTACTCTGCTCTGCATACACTTAATAGGGCATCCCCACACTTACTTGACCACTGAACCTCTGGGGCTTCACAAGCCCGTCTCTCTTCTTCCTGCAGAGTTGCCAACATCACTTCATCACTCAATCTTGCTTCAGTGCATTAGCTCATGCCATTTCCCATGCAGACTTCTCAGACTTCTAAGCTTGGTTTCTCACCTTCCTCCCAGGAGCTTTCTATGACAAAGCATCATTAGCTGAATTATCAGGGACATGTCTTTCTGAAGGTGGCAGACCTTGGATAGGAGATAGTTAAGGACGATGGGGTGGGTTGCAGGCCCAGCAGTTGGCAAATCAGGAGGGGGTTTGCTTGGAGCAACTGAGCTAAAAGACTGGACATCTGTCTTTGAAGTTGGGAACACAGCAGAGCAGGATCCTGGCTCTTAAAGGATAGAGCTACTGGGCAGGGAACTAGAGCTTGGGACCAGACAGGAACCCCGTAATATTAATAGAACTACGAGAAGGACAGAGAAGAAAGACCAGCTGGAAACTGGACAGTGATGCCGAGCCTTTGACCTGCTACTGGCATGTGTTGGTTCTGAGCTGTCCTGCAGGCCATGGGGACTGTGATTCATGATCTATTGCTGCTGTAACTAATTACTACAGGACGACACAAATTTATTATCTTGCCGTTTCTGTGGGTCAGAAGTTCAACACGAGTCTCACCAGGTTGAAATCAAGGTGTCTGCAGGCTGCATTTCTTTCTGGAGGCTCTGGGGAAGAACTCATTTCCAAGCTCACTCGGGTTATTGGTTGAATTCAACTTCTTGTGGTTGTAGGACTGAGGTCCCCATTTCCTTACTGGACACCAGCTAAGGGCCACCCTCAGCTCCTAGGAACTCCTCTCTAGTCCTTACATATGGGTCCCTGCATCTCAGAGGCAGCAATTGTGCGGTGATTCCACTTCAAGCTTGCAGTCTCTCATGCCCATCCTACATCTGTCTGACTCCAGCTGGGCAAAGTTCTTTATTTTCAAGGGCTCATGTGATTACAGTGGCCCGTAGAGACAATCCAGGAAAAGTTTCCTCTATTAAGGTCCATAATTTTAATCACATCTGCAAAGTTTCTTTTCCATGTAAGGTTACACATTCATAAGTTCCAGGGATTAGGGTGATGACATCTTTGTGGGAGGTACTATTCAGTTACCACAGGTTGATTTCATAGAAATAGAAATAGTGTTTACCAGAAGCTGGGACATTGAAGGGTGGAGGACTGGGGAGATGTTGGTTAAAGGATACAAAATTTCAGTTAGACAGGAGGAATAAGTTCGACAGACTTGTGCAACATGGTGACTATGGTTAATAACATACTATATTCTTGAAAAAATGCTAACGGAGTGCATATTAAGTGTTCTCACCATAAAAGTTGTAAATACGTGAGGTAATGTGTATTTTAGTTAGATTTATGCATTCACAATGTATATACATATATCAAAACATCATGTTGCACATGGTAAATACATACAATTTTATCTGTCAATTTAAAAAATAAAATAATAAATAAAAGGAGATAAAAGGCACATAAAGGATGCATAGTGCACCTCTGAGGGATTTATGTTCCTTTGTTTTTCTCCAATTTATATCTGTTTCTTCAGACTTTTTTTTTTTTTTTGAGATGGAATTTTGCTCTTGTCACCCAGGCCGGAGTGCAGTGGCACGATCTCAGCTCACTGCAACCTCCACCTCCCTGGTTCAAGCGATTCTCCTGCCTCAGCCTCCCAAGTAGCTGGGATTACAGGCATGCGCCACCATGCCCAGATAATTTTGGCATTTTTAGTAGAGACAGGGTTTCACCATGTTGGCCAGTCTGGTCTTGAACTCCTGACCTCAGGTGATCTGCCCACCTCCGCCTCCCAAAGTGCTGGGATTATAGGTGTGAGCCACCGTGCCTGGCCTGTTTCTTCAGACATTAATTCTCTATCAGTCTTCCTATTGTTAACATGGACTGCTTGATTGAAGTTACATCTTGCTAATGTGTTTACATACCACTTTTGAAGAGATGAAGGGCAAATTATTATTAATAATATTAATGATGCATTACAGTGGTGCAGCTTTGTACCTCAGACAGCACTTTTATATGCCTTATTTCACTTCATGGTTGTTTTTTTTTTTGTTTTGTTTCTTTGTTTTTTTTGAGACAGAGTCTCACTCTGTCACCCAGGCTAGAGTGCAATGGCGCAATCTTGGCTCACTGCAACCTCCACCTGCTGGGTTCAAGCAATTCTCCTGCCTCAGTCTCCCAAGTAGCTGGGATTACAGGCGCACACCACCACGCCCAGCTAATTTTTGTATTTGTAATAGAGACGAGGTTTCATCATGTTGGCCAGGCTGGTCTCAAACTCCTGACCTCAGATGATCCACCCACCTCAGCCTCCCGTGAGCCACCATGCCCAGCCGCTCAGTTCATGCTTTAAACATTTCTGTGCTGTAGGGAAGGCTTTCTACAATGCACTCTCAACATTTATGAGTGATTTTTTTCCAGAAGCCTTCTCAGATCTTCAAAATCAGTTATTTCCCCCATAAAATGGAATAAAATGCACCTGAAAGGCTTAAAGAATAACTTCAGACATGATAAAGAGAGAACAACAATGTCTTATGGTGAGGAAGAAGCTACAGTCCCAGGCAATGAGCTCAGAGCTGCAGTTCCAGGCCCAAGGCCTCGGAGATCTTCCTGCCTGTGACCAGCAGCCCTCACTCAGCCTCTCAGCCTACTTCAGACACTCCCTCTTCCTGGCCATGTCATGGGCCATCGATCACCTGTGATGGTCGAAACAGGGGAAGCTGAATTTCCAAGGATCTGCTGCAGGATGGTGAACTGTCATGGTTCATCGTCAGCATTTCCCCACACCACCCCCGTTGGCAGATGCCCCTCACTATTTATGGAAATACCTCCCAGTCATCTCTGAACTTAGCCTCCAATCCTTCTTTGGAGCAGTGTTCTAAGTAGCCACGACCAATCACTTAGAATTGGTACAAAGCTTGCCCTCTCTTCACTCTGGTGCTATATTATTATTCTGCCATTCTAACGTAATCAGAAGGATTCTACATGACTTAACCAGGCTCAGAGAACTGTGGGATATCAGAATGGGAAGTGCCCCCGGAGACTGAGAACAGTCCATTTATTTAATAGATGGAAACTAGAGAAGTGATGTGGATCACCCAGGGGAATCTATGGAACAGGACCAGGCCTAGATTTTCCTGCCCAGTCATCTACTAACATTATTAATTGGCTTTCCAAAGAAGAGGCTGGGAGCAGTGGCTCATGCCTGTAATCCCGGCACTTTGGGAGGCCCAGGCAGATGGATCACTTGAGGCCAGGAGTTTGAGACCAGCCTGGCCAACGTGGAGAAACCTCGTCTCTACTAAAAATACAAAAATTACCCGGGCGTGGTGGCACACATCTGTAATCCCAGATACTTGGGTGGCTGAGGCAGGAGAATCAGTTGAACCTGGGAGGCAGAGGTTGCAGTGAGTCAAGATGGAGCCACTGGGTGACAGATTGAGACTCCAGCTCAAAAAAAAATAAACAGAAAAAAAAAGAAGAGAATCCCCTTGTGCTCCCCATTCTTCATTATAAAATTATAGACCGTCTGAGTCAAAAAGAACCCTAGTGCCCACCTGACCCCACTTCCCATCCGCTATGGCCATTATCAGAATGTGCCCAGCATCAGGGAGTTCTTTGTCAAGAACCCTTTCCATTTTGGGTCCTAACTGAATTAAAATCTTCCTCCCTAGAGCTCTCAACAATTGGCCCTAGTTTTTCCCTTTACAAGAGCCCCACAAGCTGGTGAATGTATATTCTTTTCCTGGGAGGATAGAAGTTTAATTTAGTTAAATGCATCGATCTCCAGATGGCTCCTACAACATAAATCAAACGGTGACCATCCTGAGCACGATTCTGGGTGGGTAGGAAATAGTTTTAGGTAAACTGATGTTCCGTGGGGAACTTTAAAACAGCTCCTTCTAGACAGCTGCTTTCTCCTACACGCAGGGCCAGGCCTGGGCTCCTGGGAGCACCAGCCCTGAGTGGGGCACCTGCAGTCAGAAAGCCGCAGCCAGGCTGCTGTCACTCAGGCTGCCATGGAGGGCCCCTGCCCGTCATCGAGATGTCACCTTAAAAGAACTTTCTGAGGGTGAAAATGGCTTCCTCTAGGCGTGCGAGCTTCTTCCCATCCGCATTTTGACAGATGGTAATTTTTTTCCACAATGTAAGCCGTTTGACATGAAGAGTGTGCTTTTCCAAGGCACGTTTGAACTGATCGTTCGCCATCAGCTTTTGACAAAGCTACATATTATCGGAAATACCAAAGGCACAGCTCTCCTCTCCGCTATAACTCACGAAGCATATTAGGCACTGAAATTCTAATACCTCATTTTCATGACAAACGATGCAACAAGAGCCCAAAATGGCTGCCATGAATCTCCGTTGCTGACTGTGATCGCCCTAGGAGAAGGAAAGTGCCCAGCACTTAACCTCTCTGCTCCAGCATGTGGTTGCATGAAGCACAGGGGACAGCTGGCCACGTGTTAAGGCTGTCATTCACATGGCTTTGGCACCCTTGTAACTTGGAGTAGACTGAATTCTGAAGCACAGGAAAACATCAGGAAACTGGAAGGATAGCAGTTACACCGACATTGCCCCGAACACAGGGGCCTTGGTGCAGAGTTGATTGACAGCTGCAGGAGTGAAGTCTTCCTATTGAAGCAGCACATTCATCACTGTTGAAAATGGCTCTTCAGGGGCCCTGTAGGAGCATCGGAGGGTTTCCAAACTGTTGGTAAGTCTTCATTTTACTCAATTGGTATGCAAACGGAAACACTAGCCAATGCTTCTATCAACCCTGGAGTCCCCAAGTACACACTCAGCCTTAGTTATGACACTTTTCCCTACAGAGCAGAACTCAGAAGTAGAAAATGGGCTAACTTGACCCTCCTGTAGGAGACTCAAGCAACTAAAATACAAGGGGCTTGCATTAGTCAGGGTTCCCTGCAGAAACAGAACCTATATACACACACACATATATATATACACACACACACACACACACACACACACCACACACACACATATATACATACCCATATATATGTGGAGAAACAGAACATATATCTATATATATGGGCCAATTCCCAACATATATATGAGTAAATCTCTGTCACTCTCTCTCTCCATATACATGTGAAAAAACAGCATGCATATATATATATATATATGCATGCCAATTTCCTATGGTAGTAAATCTCTCTCTCTCTCCCTGTCCATATGGAAAATTGATAAAAATTTTCCATATGGACATATGAAAAAATGATAAAATTTTTTCTAGAAAGAAAATACATTACTGTCCATATGGAAAGGAAGAGAGAGAGATTTACTACTATAAGGAATCAACTCATATGATTATGGAGGACAAAAAGTCCCAAGATCTGCAGGCTGAGTCTACAAGCTGGAGACCCAGGAGAGCTGACAGTGTAGCTGCAGGGTCGAGACCCAAGAATAGTTGATGTTTTGGCTTGAGTTTGAAGACAGGAAAGAATGGATGTCCCAGCTCAAAAGCAGGCAGGCAGGCAGGCAGGAGAAACTCATGCTTTTTTAGCTTTCTTTGTCCTGTTTAGGCCTTCACCTGATTAAATGAAGCCCACCCACTCTGCCTTACTCGGCCTACCTGTTCAAACGTTAATCTCATCCAGAATCACCCTCGCAGACACACACAGAACAATTTTTGACCAACAGTCTGGGCCCTCTGTAGCCCAGTCAAACAACACATAAAATTAACCATCACAGCACCTTCTTATCAGCAACACTGGTGTAAGACAAGTCAGTGGCCCCAAGATCTCTGTGATGTAAAACCTTGGAGGAGATAGATGAAATTTTTTCTAGAAAGAAAATACATTACTGAGAGGCAGAGATGAACTTTTAGAGAGAGAAAGAGAGACAGAGTTAGACTAAGTTTGTATCTATTTTTAAAGACTGTAATTTAGAGCGGTTGTGGGATTTTGGGGGTCTGTCTTTCATTTTGTTTTTTGAATGAGGAATTTCTCTGACAAAGCAGTCAACGTGTGCTCCCAAATCACTTAGTAAGCAGACTAAAACAAAAAAAGTCTACAATTTTGAGATTTTGGAACTATTTGTCTAAGCAATGTAGAAGTTGGCATCATAGAGGCAGAAAGATGTGTCTTTCTTCATTAAAAAGTTCTAAATTGGCCAGGCTCGGTGGTTCATGCGTGTAATCCCAGCACTTTGGGAGGCTGAGGCGGGTGGATCACGAGGTCAGGAGATCGAGACCATCCTGGCTAACACGGTGAAACCCCGTCTCTACTAAAAATACCAAAAAAAAATTAGCTAGGCGTGGTGGTGGGCACCTGTAGTCCCAGCTACTCGGAAGGCTGAGGCAGGAGAATGGCGTGTACCCAGGAGGCGGAGTTTGCAGTGAGCTGAGATTGTGCCACTGCACTCCAGCCTGGGTGACAGAGCGAGACTCCATCTCAAAAAAACTAAAACTAAAAATAAAAATAAAATAAAATAAAATAAAATTCGCATTTGCTTCCCTCTGTCACTGTCATTCCTGGCATCACCTGGGAACACACTTACAACAAAGACCAAGTGAATAACTCTGGATGGACAGAAAACACATTAGTCATTTCCCAGCTCCATTCCAAAGCCTAGCTGAGCTTATTAGATTTGATTAAAGGACTTTGAGTTTAGCTTGTTGGAGAGATAAGGATTAAGCAATAAGGAGCTTTCCCTCCCTAGGATCCCCAAAGTCATCAGCACAAAAGAGCAGTGCTCTAGCTTCTTGGATGCTTTTCCTAAACTGCCAGGGTCTCTTCCTTCATTTGTATTAATGAAATCAGTCAAAAAGGATTAAGCTTTCTGTAGCTTTGAAACTTTTGCAACTCATAAATTATTGAATATAAAAGCTGGAAAGGAGTTTAGAAGGAATCCCAATCTAAAACCTCATTTTACAAATATGAGAACCAGAGAAATTAACTGACTTGCCCAAGGTCACATAGCAAGTTCCAGGCAGAGCACTGAGGAGAACCCAGGTCTCTTGTCTCCTGAATTAGGCCTGCTTTCTGCCTTCTCTCACCCCTAGAAGTGGAGACTGAACCACACGGGGACTAGAAGATGATGGAGGAGTGCCCACTCGAGCTGATCATTTTTGTTGCAATGTCTCTGCTCTGTGTCTGTCAAACTAGATGCATGGATTTTGAGCAGCAAGCAGCTCCGACATTTCACTAGAGACTGCCGAGGGAGTGGTGTCCCAGGAAAGCTACGGGGCTATAAAACTGGAAGGAAGGGAAAGGGTGACATGGAAACACAGTGGAGAAAATGCACCTTGGTGACCAGTGCTGCAGACCACGCGGCCCCTGTGTGTTGCATTTACGGCCACTATAAAACCACAGCCTGGACAGTGAGAACCCCCTGGACAGGAGAGGCCTCCGCTGAGCTTGCCGGGCACCCTTCCTCCAAAGAGCAGCGAACCGTGGAATGCAGGAGCTTCAGGACTGGAAAAGACGGAAGGCCCTCTCACATCAGGGTCACAACAGGTCAGGGTCAAAGCCAGGACTAGAATGTAGATCCTATCGCACTCTAGTCTGCAACCCCAAAGGGACCCACTCTACAATGACAAGCAGATGTAGGGTGAGGGAATGGTGGGAGTGTCATGGAAGGATGATAGTGGCTGCATCCGGGAGGGCCACATCCCAGAGAGGTCAATAGCACCCACACATAGGTGGTGGCTGGAGCCGGGGTGCCTGCCATGAGGCCCTGTAATTACCTGGATTCATCCAGCCCAGAGAGGTGATTTCTTGGTTACCTGGCACACGTTGACCACCTACCTGTGAGCAACTCTGTGCCAGATATTTTGGAGATTCAGAAGACACTGAGACCAGACATCATTCTTCTCTGTCTCGAGGCCCTTTCTGCCCATGGCTGAAAGGGTGTTCTCGCTCTAAATCTTTGTTCTCAGCTTGCCACATCCTTTTAGTCTTACCATGCCATGTGACTGTTGTTGCCTTGAGTTCTTGTTTCAGAATATGTCTATTTAGTTGTGGGGCCTACATTTCCCTGACATCCCTTCCCTTTTGGTTTTGGGTTGGGACTGGCCAGAAGAGAGCTCAAAGAGACTTGGAGGGGGCGTGCTAGTGCAGCCACTGCCATGCTCTGCAAGGGAGCTCAGGGCAGGTACTGCTGGGGCTCATGCCTGTCGTCTGTGACCCCTCTGGCTCACCTGCCACAGGGCAGCGCATGCTGGGACACCACCTTCAGCCTGTGACATCTGGGGCTGGGGGCACGTGCAGCCCCTCCTGCAGGTGGCCACGTCATCGCTATGAGAGGGGTGAGAGGCAGGTGCGGTTCCAGGCTGCTCAGCCTCCCTGTCCATCTTTCCTTCCTGCTGGACAGCCTCAGGCCCAGCGGCAGATGCAGAGGCAACAGCCTCCCCCAGATGGCCTAAGGAGCTCCACGGTTGCACCAGATCTGCCTCCTATACTAAGTTCCTTCCTCCAGGCCAGTCACATCTCTGATTGAACACTATCCAATACCTGTTATTATTAAGACCTTTTACAGCTTGAGCCACTCATGAAAATTTTATGTTGCTTCTTATGGTATTATTTTTCCCTACCTTAGAGGTCACTTTTCCAGGCTTATGGCCTGAAGCATGACCCCCCAGTCCCCACCTCATTGCTGACTTTTATTTATATATTTATTTTGTGTGTGTTGAAGGAAGGAGGCTCTGTGATCTGTCTCCTTCTGTTCTCTTTTTTTTCTCACTCAGAAGCCCCATCATGACTTTCTCAAGGATATGCCTTTCTGTATTCCCCACACAGCACAGGTGCCCAAGAAGCGCTTGTTGCACTGAATCGGTGAGCCCTGCCATCTCCCATACTGACCAGCTGTGGGCACAAAGGCAGCCACCCCAAAGGCTCAGCCAACTATAGTTTCTGAGCAAATGCTGTCCATGGCAAGCAGGAGCATAGGACCCCTTTCTTCCCAGCAAGTAGGTACCTGAATTTTCCTTTTTTTTTTTTTTTTCTTTTGAGACAGAGTTTTACTCTTGTTGCCCAGGCTGGAGTGCAATGGCGTGATCTCAGCTGACTGCAACCTCCACCTCCCAGGCTCAAGCAATTCTCCTGCCTCAGCCTCCTGCGTAGCTGGGATTACCAGCGCCTGCCACCATGCCCAGCTAACGTTTTGTATTTTTAGTAGGGGGCGGGGTTCACCATGTTGGCCAGGCTGGTCTCGAACTCCTGACGTCAGGTGATCCAACCGCCTCAGCCTCCCAAAGTGCCGGGACTACAGGCGTGAGCCACCGCGTCTGGCCAAATTTTCCTTTCTCTCTTGGGTCCAATATTCAGTCTGCCTGGGGTGATTGATTTGTTGGCTGGAATCCAGGCAGACAGTCGAATTGCACTACGTGATCATCTATTTAACCTTAAAATATTGCCACTAATCTAAAAACTACCCTGATTCTGTGTCCTTCTTATCAGCTTGGACCCCCTGGAACAATGCTTGTCTCAACTGGGCCTGAGATGTCCAGGCTCTAAAGGACACTGGGCAGTGGTCTTCTCTGAGCAGTGATTGGGGAGACGCTTCATCCTGTGACCACATAATCACCCTTCCGCAGCTTTCCTTGTATTCAGTTATCCACATGCCCAGCACGGAAACAGGCACTGGGACAGGAGCTTCCAAGGACTCCAAGGACTCTGGAACACACATAAGAGAACATACAGCTCCAACTCACTTAAGTGATTTAATTGGTTTATTGAGCTGTGTAAAGCCAGCAGCAGATAGGATTTTCGGTATGGTTCAACGAGATTTCTGTCTCACCTGCTCTGTGATCATCTTGGCTTTGCCCCCTCTGAGTGCCATTCTATCTGCGGATGGGCTTGCCTCATGGACACAAATTGGCTGCTGGCAGCAATGAGGGCAGCAGGCTTCCCGGGGCATATTCAGAAGGAGAGAGTGTAGCCTCCCAACTTGTGGAACAAAATTCCTGACCTACGCTCTGAATGGATCACACCTGAACCAGTGCCTGTGGTGGGAAATACCATGTGGTGATCGTCTAGGTCCACGTCAGGTGCGCAGTATTCCGGCAGGGGAGATGCTGTTAACACACAGAGGGACCAGTCCAGGCTCCCATGTGCAGGGGCTGGGTGTGAAGTCAATGATTTCCAAACGGCATGGCAGAGAAGCAATGGGGGGAGGTGGAATGAAAGCTGGGGACGCAATCACAACTTCTACTCAATAAGGCTAGGGCCTTGAGTTGCATCTTCAAGAACGGGTAGGAGGCTAGGCATGGTGGCTCACGCCTGTAATCCCAGCACTTTGGGAGGCCAAGATGGGCGGATCACCTGAGGTCGAGACCAGCCTGACCAACGTGGAGAAACCCCGTCTCTACTGAAAAATACAAAATTAGCTGGGTATGGTGGTGCATGCCTGTAATCCCAGCTACTCAGGAGGCTGAGGCAGGAGAATCACTTGAACCCAGGAGGCAGAGATTGTGGTGAGCAGAGATCGCACCATTGCACTCCAGCCTGGGGAACAAGAGTGAAACTCCTTCTCAAAAAAAAAAAAAATGGATAGGACTGGGATATGGCACAGTACACAATAATCCTAGACCCACCTGTCTTGTCCCACAAGAACCCAAGGGCCAACAAATGTCCATCAAATTTATTTCACCCTAACGTGTGGGCAATGCATAATTGTGAGCAAGTCAAAACTGAGAAAAGCCAAGGTGAAGGTGAACAGCTGGTAAAGGCATGGGGAGGGAAAAAATGACAAAATCAGAGGGCTCTTCAGCTGAAACAATTCCAGTTTTTTTTTTCCTCCAGAACATTATTTTGATTGGCCAATTTCATGCTATAAGCTCAGATTGAATTCCACGAAGAAACACTCGGATGGAAATAATTGTAGGTAGAGTCATTTTATTAGTATTCCTAAAGACCTCTGATGAGGAATAATGATGGTAAATCATTAATAGATATTTTCAGCTGCTTTAAAAATTAAATCTGTTCCACAACGTGTTTCACAATTTTATAGCCATTATACAGAGCCCTTTGGGATAGTCTCATAAAAGGCATTCCATAAATTTGATCTGTCCTTGTATTGCATTACATTTTACAGCAATAATCTGGCATTTTAAAAAGCTCCAAGGCATCATCTCCTTCAGAAGGAGCAATGAAGGAAAGTGCGGGAGAACAGAAAATGACAGGTTCTGCAGAAGGAATCACCATCCTTTTCTCAAAACACTACGAGGAAAGGGGTCAGGTGTGATCAATGTTTTCTGGAGGATTTATTCCACTATTCCCTGAGGCCTCTTGTGAAATCTTACCGAATATGTCTCTTCCTCAATTACTCTTAAAAAGAACCCCACGCTGGGATGTGCTCTCTAGGACAGTCTCCAGCATGCATCACCCCTGCCTCCTCGCAGTGGGGCTGAACGAATTCCGCACAGATGAACCTAGCCTAGGAGGTAGAGAAGCAACTCATCCTGTTTTCTCAGCCTGCTGCACGGTTGCCAGGTCACAACCAAAACTCTACTTCTGTAGTGACTGCGAGGCTCTGCAAACCTCCCTAGGCATTTGAAATTTCAGATACAAAACTCACAAAACACTCAAGAAGGGAAGGCAAGGTATCTCCCTAATTTGCAGCAGTATTGCATTTTTTCAATCAACTAAGCACTGCTTTAATTTTAGGTTGGAAAATCTAAGGGGTGTGCATTAATGATCTTGAAGTCAACGGCATCATACAGCTCTAACCAGAGGGCCCTAACAATAATGCACAGAAGACTTGGGATTGAAGTAATTTAAGTTCAGAGTCTGATTTATACACCAGTTCATGGGGCTACGATTGCTGCACAAGGAACCCAGACTCTACCCAGAGATCTGAGAAACATTCCTCTGGCTGAAACAAATAGAATCATGAATTAAAGAAAATGGGAGAGGCAAAAATTTTGTGGGAAGAAGGGGCTCATTTCAGGAGACAAAGTCACTTCATGGAACAAGGCCTGGGCTATACAATGGGCGTGTTCAATGTTATGGGTGGCAGCAAACCACCCAGAACTAGTGGGTTTTACATGAGATGTTGTGCATCGCCTGGGCCATGTCAATGTCTAGAGCTTGATGGACAACATGGCTGTTGTAGCCAACACTGCTGGCCATCAGTATCCAATTCTCTCCACCCTAGGTTCCAGGAAGACTGTACTTCCCAGACCCCTTGCAGCTAAGCAGGGCCATGGGACCACTTCTAGCCAGTGAACCATGAGCCATAGTGACATTTGTGGCTTCCAACTGACACTATGCCCCTTGAGCCTTCTTGTCATCCCCTCCACCAGGAACACAGGACCCCATGCTGCATTGGTGGAGCAAGACTGCAGCCCCAGAGGACAGCTGCCCTGGGCTTCTCCCACTCTCATGGAGAATTTTTTGGGAAAGGCAAATACATTGGTGTTGTGTTAAGCAGTGGAGATTCTGGAATTTGTTGTTGTTGTTAACTCCAGCACAGCTTCGCTTATGTAGACTAATCTAATAACTGAGCATAATTTAAGGTGAACATAAAAAAGGGTAACTATTGTCAACCTACTGTATGAAGTAGCTTTGTGAAAACTTAACTGAAGTAATAGCCAGTTCTTAGCCACTGCAAAGGCTTCTGAGGGCGACAACAAAGGGACCTCAGGATCCCTGGGTGAAATGCCCATCTCACGGGAGCCTGTTGGCCTGTGCAGATGTTCCCAGGATGCTCCTGATTTCCACACCAAGGATGAACCATGCCCACTGGAGCATAGCCTTGGCTTCCGATGCCATCAGTTAATGGGGTGAAGGACAACAGTGCTGGTGGTCAGCTCAAGCCATACACAGATAAGGGGCTTGACAGATGCTCTGGAACCTAGAGCAAAGGCACTCAGCCCCTGTCAGGAGCCTCTTGGCAGCAGGTGGGGCCCCTCTGAGAGTCTCACTGCCTGTGTGGGTCAGTGCCAAACATAGCAGCCCACAAGCAGATGATGAAGGCACAAAACCAAACCGAAGGACTCAGAGAATGTATCTGCAGGACAGACTTTACAGGTGAGGAGAGAGTCCCTAGTGGGCAGTTTTGGCCAGGCTGTGAGTGGGACTTCAAGAAGTTCAGGCAACAGACACAAACAGCAACTCATGGTGACATCCCTGCCAGATCCTGCTGGCTCCTCCCACCTCGGGCTGGGATCTGCCTTCCCGTCTCGGTGAGGAGCAGCATGTGGTTGTCTGTGCCCCTGGCAACTTTTGTTCCTGGGAACAAATCCTATTCTCCTCCATTGCCCTCCCCATGTCCTTAGCTTAGGATGGATTTCATGAGAAGAGCAAGAACTTCTTGAGAAAAAAATTCCCTTTATTTAGATAATGTTGATCAACTCCAGGACCCTCGTGGAGATCACAGTCAATGGAATATCTTTTCTGGCCAAGGGGTGGCTCATGCCTGTAATCCCAGCACTTTGGGAGACCGAGGCAGGAGGATCGCTTGATCCTAGAAGTTCGAGACAAGCCTGGGCAACACAGCAAGACTCTATCTCTACAAAAAACTTAAAAATTAGCCAAATGTGGTAGTACATGCCTGTAGTCCCAGCTACTGGGGAGGCTGAGATGGGAGGATCACTTGAGCCCAGGAATCAGATGTTGCAGTGAGCTGAGCCTGCACCACTGCACTCCAGCCTGGGTGACAGAGCAAGACCTTGTCTCAAAAAAAAAAAAAAAAAAAAATTGAGCTCACAGCCAGCAGCCAGTGGACAGAATCAGTGCTTACTGGGTTTAATTAAATTGTAATATTGAAGCATCTGTGGGCTCAGTTTTTATCTTCATGAAATGAGTTGGTCCATTATTCATAGTCTTTTTCTTTTATTAAGTGATCAGATGCAAAGTAAATGTTTTTCCTTCCATTTGCTTCTAGATTGGAATGCTCTTATTAATATAGAAAAATCCTGGGGTACATTTAGGACTGAGGAGAAGGTACTTCTCTTAGAGTATTGCACAGCAAGAAACCTCTCCCACACATCTGATTGGCAACAAAGACACCACTGCAGTTGAGTGAGGGGCAGAAAAGGATGGTCCTCTTTATAAATGGGTGAGATCAATTGGATATTTGTATGGAAAAAAATGAATCCTGACCCCTCTCTCATACCATACTCAAAAATTTATTAGACATGGATCACAGACCTGTGAAAGGTGAAACAAATAAAACTTTTAGATAAATGCATAGACTAGATTCATGACATAGGGGGAAACAAATTCTTAAACATAGCAGAAAAGGCACCAGCCAGAAATTCAGAGCGGATAAATTGACTTCATGACCATTCAAAACTGCTGTCCATAAAGAGGCATGATTAAGATTGTGAAAGGAGGCCGGACGCAGTGGCTCACACCTGTAATCCCAGCATTTTAGGAGGCTGGGGGGTGGGGTGGGGGTGGATCACGAGGTCAGGAGTTCGAGACCAGCCTGGCCAACATGGTGAAACCCCGTCTCCACTAAAAATACAAAAATTAGCCAGGTGTGGTGGTGTGTGCCTGTAGTCCCAGCTACTCCATTGGCTGAGGCAAGAGATTTACTTGAACCCCAGAGGCAGAGCTTGCAGTGAGCTGAGATTGTACCACCGCACTCCAGCCTGGGTGACAGAGTGAGACTCTGTCTCAAAAAAAAAAAAAAATAGATTGTGAAAGGACAAATCACAGTAGCAAGGCAAGTAGCCTCTCATACAGTCCTGCAAGTTCCTAAGATGGGTAGAATTTTCCATATTAATAAGGGCATTTCAATCCAGCAGCAAAAGGAGAAGACAAATAGGAAAATATTTACTTTGCAAAAGAGGGGGAGATATTCATAATACACAGACCTGACAGAGAACTCATATCTCAAATATGTCAAGAACTCCTGCAAATTGATAAGACAAAGACAAGCCAATTAGAAATAGGCAATAGACTTGAGTAGACAGTTCATGAAAAAGGACATGCAAATGACAAATAAGCATATGGACAAAGGCAAAACGTCATTACTCATCATGAAAATGCAACCAAAAGCCTCAAAGAGATATTGCTACACACCCATCATAATGGCTAAAATTAGGCAGGCTGTGGTGGCTCAAATCTGTCATCCATGAGAGGTCAAGGCAGGAGGATTGCTTGAGGCCAAGAATTGGAGACCAGCCTGGGCAACAAAGCAAGATCTCATCTCTACAAATAATAATTATTATTATTATAATTATAGCCAAAATTAAAAAACGAATAATACCAAGTGTTGGTGAGCTTGGGGAGAAAGTAGAAGTTGCATACATTCCTGGTGGAAATGTAGAACTGATAGTATTTACAAAAGCCTCAGAGGCAATTACCCTATGACTCAGCAATTCTACTGCTAGGTATGTACCCCAATCCTTATTGCATGTGTCCACCAAAAGACACACACTAATGCTCGCAGCTACATTTATAAAAGGCCAAAAGTAGAAACTCCTTAAATGCCCATCAATAGCAGAAAGGATAACACAGGCAATAGATGGTTACAATGGTGATAGTGTAAAAATGAACTACCGCTGTACACAACCACCTGCATGAATCTCAAAGACAATGATGGGACAAAGAAGCCAGACAAAAGACTATACACTATAAGACTCCACTTATTTGAAGTTCAAGAACAGATAAGACTACTCTATGGGAGTAGAATTCAGAATGATGGTTAATTTTATGGGAAGACATTACCCAGGGAAAAAGCACGAAGGGGCCTTTTGAAGCTTTGGAAGTATTTTTGAATGTTGACCTGGGTGGTGAACACACACACACACACACACACACACACACACACGCAAAATTTATCAAGCTGTCTCTTGTAGATAGGTTATATCTTATACATAGTAATCCTACTAATAGAAAGACAGACTGATAAAATCTACTGTTCTTCCTACGAGCTTCATGTTTGCATTCCTTCCTTGTTAGATTGTACTGAAATAAAGGACAATCTATTTTGTTAGAAGAAGAACATATATTTAATTAGTAGATCTGTTAAGTCATGAAGTCAGGGGGGGACCGTGGGAAAAACAAGACAAGACATAAGGAGATGGCATCAGTTTGCACCCCTAGAATTGTGGCAGCGTATATGTGATGCACTGCTATTCATAGGCAGGGAGATGGCAGATAGGGAGATTCAGGACTGAGAAAGCACAGCAAGTGACATCCCACGGTGTCCTCCACACACAGCCATTGTTTGTCATGATCCTTTCTGTTCACTTCCCACTCATTTGTTTAATGAGGCTGATAAATATCAGCCAAGTCGTGGCACAAAGACTCCAGATCTAAAGCCAAGACATTGCCATCAAATTTTAGATGGTTGTACAGGTGAGGAAAGTGAGGCCCAGCAAGGTGGAAATGACGCATCCAAGGTCACACAGCTAGTGACTACACAGGAGGTCGGTGGCTTAGAATCCACTTCTGCCAACTTCCAGTCTACTCTTCAGTGCATTCCAGGGCTGTGCTGAGCTCACCCACTGGGTCACAGCTGGACGATGAGGGAAAATGTGGGATGAGTGTGATTTAAAATATTGAAGAACAGGATGGGACAGGCAAGCTGTTTCCCATCACTTTTGTGGAGAGAATATTGCAGCAAGAGGATTTTGATTAAATCTGAATGGAAGAAACTGCTTTTTACTTGGCACCTACCAGGTGTTACTATTCTGACTCCAGTCCAGCACCACAAGAGACTGATGTGGACTCACATGAGTTCCAGAGCTGCAGTTCTGGGCTGTGTTAGAGAACAGATACGTGTTTATCCAGGCGGCTCTCTCAACCCCACTGCTGTGAGTGGCATGAGAGTGCAATATTGTCACATCATCATTCTCACATTGAGCAAACCCTCTCCCTCAGAACTGGCCAAAAGGACTCCCAGGAAGCCATGTACCCAGGTGTTCATGCCTAGAGGAAGCCAGCCCCCTCACCTCCCGGCAGCGGCTTTGTGGGAGGAAGCACAGGTGTCAATACCGTGTAGATAATGATGTGGCTGCCTCCCCACCTGCTCCTGGTGGCAGACAGGGACCGTCGCTCTGGTGCTAGATGTCCCAGGTGTCCTTCTGCATGACCCCGTTCACTTCCCCACCATGCTGCTGAAAGGTTTCCTGCCAAAAACTACCTGTCTCTCTGGGCTGCCACAAGCCCTGAGTTCCCATCATTAAACTTACCTAGTTAATGGGTCTTCGGAGATGTGTATTTTAGCTGAATAAAAATTTAGTATATCTTGCCCAGGCACGGTGGGTCATGCCTGTAATCCCAGCACTTTGGGAGGCAGATGCGGGTGGATCCCTTGAGGTCAGGAGTTCAAGACCAGCCTGGCCAACATGGCGAAACCTCATCTCAACTAAAAATACAGAAAAAAAAAAAATTAGCCAGGCGTGGTGGCATGCAGCTGTAATGCCAGCCACTCGGGAAGCTGAGGCAGGAGACTGGCTTGAACCCAGGAGATGGAGGTTGCAGTGAGCGGAGATTGTGCCACTGCACTCCAGCCTGGACAAAAGAGGGAAACTGCATCTCAAAAAACAAAAAAGTATATCCTAAGAGTAACATACTGGAAACTGGCTAGAAAGCAAGGATTAACTAAGCCAATTAACTTTTTCAGGTTCATTTCAGAATATTTTGTATAAAAGAAAACTACGTGTAAAATTAAAATCATCTTTCTCCTCCTGCATCTCATTATTCTCCTTCCCTCCCCAGAGGTAATTACCATGATGAATTTGTGTATATTTTAGCCAATTTTACATATTTTTACTACACATTTCTTTATTTTTTAAATTATACATCAGTTGTCACAACTGGGAGGATAAAAAATAAATAAGTAAATTACATGTTTTATCAATTGTACATATTACTCTGCAATTTGATACATGTTAATCTAGCTCATAGCATTTCATTGCTATCTACTAATCCATATGAATGTTTTTAATACGTGAATTAACTCTTTTTCTTTTTGAGTATTCGATATTTGGACCTATTAGTGCCACACTTACTTTTTTCCACCTCTCCTGCCCTGAATTGTTCCACTACTAATTAGAAGTTTAGAAAGAATACATTCCATTTTTATTCTGTCAGTGGTTCCTTTACATGTTTAATATGTACACCTAAAGTCTAAAACTAAGCAATTCCTCTCGCTTCCCCCAAAATGTAAATGTCTTAGAACTCATCTTCAATCTTCTGCCGGCTACCTACCATGGTTTTTGTTCAATATTTTAGTACTACCTTTTTTATTTCCAAATAATTCTTTTTTAAAAAAATAAATACTTAATGATATTATCCTTAGCAAACCAACACAGGAACAGAAAACCAAATACTGCATGTGCTCACTTATAAGTAGGAGCTAAATGATGAGAACACATGGACACGTAGAGGGGAACAACACATACTGGGGCCTATCAGAGGGTGGAGGGTGGGAGGAGGGAGAGGATCAGGCAAAATAACTAATGGGTACTGGGCTTAATACCTGGGGGATGAAATAATCTGTACAACAGACCCCCATAACACAAGTTTACCTGTGTAACAAACCTGCACGTGTACCCCTGAACTTAAAAAAAAAAACTCTGCTTTTACTCAAATTGTCTTTGCACACCTTACTCCTTTCTAATGGATCATTTTGTTGATGGGCATTCTTTAGTTGCTTTTTTGTTTTTGAGATGGAGTCTGGCTGTCGCCCAGGCTGGAGTGCAGTGGCACGATCTCGGCTCACTGCAACCTCCGCCTCCCAGGTTCAAGCGATTCTCCTGCCTCAGCCTCCCAAGTAGCTGGGACTATTGGCACACATCACCACACCCAGCTAATTTTTGTATTTTTAGTAGAAACAGGGTTTCACCATGTTGGCCAGGCTGGTCTTGAACTCCTGACCTTAAGTGATCCACCTGCCTCGGCCTCCCAAAGTGCTGGGATTACAGGTGTGAGCCACTGCGCCAAGCCCTTTAGTTGCTTTTCAGCAAGAATTTATGAAAGGCAAACTGTTACGTATCTGAAAATGCCTTCATTTTCCCTCACTCTTGAATGGAGAGTGAGCTGAGTATAAAATCCTGATTGAAAGATGTTATCATTCAGCATGTCACTGTTGCTTTTCTATTTTCTCCTTGCACCTCTTGTTGCTGATAAGAATTCTGCTTACAATCTAGTTGTTCTTCTTTTGTAGAAGGCTTTCCCATTCTTCAGTTTCCTTGTGGGTTCTATAATGTTACTATGATGTACTTCAATGTGGATTTTTCTTATTTACCCAGTTCTGGACTCAGTGTGCTTCATCACTCTATAACTTAGGTATCGCTTCAATTCCAAAAAAGTCCAGCAATTATCTTTTCAAATATTTCTTCTCCCCTATTCTTTGTATTCATGCTTCTGGAACTACAATTACACATAGAAATGCATTTTTCATTGTAACCTCCACTCTTCTCTTCATATTTGCAGTTTTTATTAATAGATATCTGTGCCACATAATGGATGGTTTCCTCAGGTCTATTTTCTAATTTATACATTTTCTCTTCAGCTGTCTATTATTCATTGTTTAGTTTAGCTGTCTCCTATTAATTACATCAAGCATTTTTGACATTAAGCGTTCTTTTGTTTCCAGAATTACTTTTTGGTTATGTTTAAAATAAGCCTATTGTGTTTTATAATATCACGTTCTTGCTTTATGGTTTTATTCATTTCTTTTAACATTTTAAGTATATATTATAAAGATTCTATTACCTTCCATTGTTAGGCAGCAAATCATCTGTGTTTGCCATTCTTCCTTTAAAAAAAATGGCTGAATCTTTTATTTGTTTTTAGCTATTTGTTTAAACTCACATTCAGTGCTGACCATTCCTGTGGGTGCTCTGAGTGCCCTGGTGCATGGAAACACCCGCACAGAGGAGTCCATGCTTGCTTTTTCCAAGAGATCCATGGGTTCTACCCACCCAGGACCAGCTTCTGTTACTTGTCAACGTAGGGTCCCTGATCTGTGTACTTAGCGTGAGTTCAGGTGACCACACCTGTGAAGTACAGGGAAGTGCAGGGTTTCTTTTTCACCCTTGACCTCACCAAATGTCAGGGTTCCCTGTGGCTTCCCCAAGTGAGTAGACAACAGTCTTCCATGACTTCACGTATGGGGCAGCATTTTGTAACCTGTGGATTTATGCAGCTAGCTATCTTCCAGTCCTCATGCACGCTGACCATGGCCCCAGCTACCTGTCTGCACAGATGTGAAGATCCATCTCCCCCCATAGTCAAGCATCATTCTGATTTTGTGTTTCATCTTTTTGCCTGAGGATTTCTCTGTCTTAAGAAACTCAGCTCGGCCGGGCACGGTGGCTCACACCTGTAATCCCAGCACTTTGGGAGGCTGAGGTGGGTGGATCACAAGGTCAGGAGATCGAGACCATCCTGGCTAACATGGTGAAACCCTGTCTCTACTAAAAGAATACCAAAAAAAAAATTAGTTGGGTGTGGTGGCGGGTGCCTGTAGTCCCAGCTACTCAGGAGGCTGAGGCAGAAGAATGGCGTGAACCCGGAAGGCGGAGCTTGCAGTAAGCCGAGATCGTGACACTGCACTCCAGCCTGGGTGACAGAGCGAGACTCCATCGCAAAAAAAAAAAAAAAAAAAAAAAAAAAAGAAAGAAACTCAGCTCTATAAATAAACCTTTATTGTTACTGTTGTAGTTGTTGTGGCTGTTTGATTGATCTACCATGTGTATGCATTGGAAAAGGAGGACGGCCTTTCCTGTGTCAGCTCAGCTTGCGGCACTGACCTGAAATCACTGATTAACTCTCAGCACCCACTGTTATCAACAGCGAGCAAAATCCCTGGGGATGGAACACACGGAATGACTAATCCTTGATTACAATAAGGGGAGTAGGAAAGGTTGGGACAAGAATGCCTAATTAATATAATGGGTTTAACCAACAGGATTTAAAATTTTAGGTGATAAAATTTCAAGTCCATTGGCTACCTCTCTAGCCTTTTGCTGACATTTCCATTCAACATGATTCAAAAACATGCACTGAGTGCATAATTTGTGTGCAATATCTGTTGTGGCTCTAAAAATAAACCAAATGAGCTGAGGAGGTACCTAATACCTATGAGTGATAAGGTAGTACACAAGTAATTAAAACCTGAGATTAAATGTATTAAGTACTCAAAGCAAGAAACTCTGTGTTATATGAGTACAAGGAGGGAGACGGTGTTTCTGGCTGAGGAGTTGGAGAAAGCTTCATGGAAGATGGCAAGCAACCTTTATGACTGTTTGGATTGCAACTCCTGGAAATGCATAGAAGATCACATTTACAAAATATAATGTAAAATGATAAAATATAAATAAGATTTTATAAATGAAGTAAAATAAAATATGAGCAAAGGGGTAGAGGTGAAAGCGGATGGGATGTCCAGGGAGCAGAAGGCAGTTTGCTTTCACAAGAACAAAGGGACTTCAATAAGAAGAAAACAGAATATGAGGCCGGCTGCAGTGGCTCACACCTGTAATCCTAACACCTTGGGAGGCCGAGGTGGGTGGATCACCAGGTCAGGAGTTCGAGACCACCCCAGCCAGCCAACATGGTGAAAGCCCACCTCTACTAAAAATACAAAAAAATTAGCTGAGTGTAGTGGTGGGCACCTGTAATCCCAGCTACTCAGGAGGCTGAGGCAGGAGAATTGCTTGAACCGGGAGGTGGAGGTTGCAGTAAGTCAAGATTGCGCCACTGCGCTCTAGCCCAGGCGACAGAGTGAGATTCCATCTCAAAAAAAAGAAAGAAAAAAATAGAATATGAGCTTTAAAAGGCAGATCTCTTTTTAACTGCAAAAACACTTCACGAGACAGTAATCGTGCTTTTGGTTTCTGTTGATTAAATATACACAATGATAAAGAACTGGGCTCAGTAAATACTTTAAATGTAGAGTTGACTAATCCTCATGCAACCTTGCACATGTTTTTAAAATTGGGTAAATATGAGCAAGACAATGATTCAAAGTAAGACAAGCACAGACCCCATGCAGTAACTCCTCAGCCTGCAAGTTGGGAATACTGTTTTAAAATGTCCCATGATCTACCCCGAGGTTTCAATATCCCTGTGTACCCCATCAGAGGACTTGACCAGGTAAATCAGTGGCTAGAATTTCAGGCAACTGCACAGAGAAATTTTTAAGCAAAGAGTCTTCCTCTTACCCTAAAATTTGGCATGTCCTGCCAGGATTTAAGGCCACCAGCCTGTTCTCTTTAGGTCAGGGACAGAAGGAGGAAAAACAAAAGAAAGAAAATGGGAAACTGTTTCAGGGACACAAAGCAGAGAGGGGGCAGGTGGAAGGTGGGAGAGAGAAAGCAATTGCAGAAGGAATACTCCCTGCCCCATCCCACTATTAGAGGTCAAGGCCACAGACACAAATCTCCTTCCCATCTGCCCTGTGACTTACTACCTCTCCAAATGACCCTTTCCCATCCTCTTTTCTCCCTCCAGCACACACATGCACCTGTGTGCGAACACACACAGCACTCCCCACTGACTCTGGAGAGGCCCAGAGAGGATGCATCAAAGTGAAACTAACTACAGTCCCTTCGGAGCTGCTTATCAGTCATGCCTAATTCCCAAGTTACATCGTAACCATGGTGCATGCAATTGATTACATGTTTGATTAGCTTTATTGTAAGTTTCCTTTAACATCAATACTGAACTCTGTTCTGTGAACTCAGCCTTCGTTGTCTGGGGTGCTGTGGTTACTGGAAGGGGAAGGAAGGGCCAAGGCTCAGGTAGTCACATCCAAAGGAACTGCCTGCAAACAAACCAGCCACGCTGGATTTAACTGATGGAACCAAGGGTTGGGCAGTTCTAGAGACAGGGAGCAAAGCCAGGGTTTTGGAAAGTACGTAAATACTGAGACCAGGGAGGGGCGGGAAGAGGGCAGAGCAGGATGGAGACCCTTTCTCAGCAGGGACAGAGCAGGAGCAAAGGTGAGGTGGAGGCAAGGCCCAAGCTGATTCCACGTAGGGCACCTGGGTAGGGGTGTGTACTTATGAAACTGAAATAATACTGGATCCAGGAGAAAAATGTAGTATATTTGAAAAGATTTGGAAATGGCAAGTGTGCTCTTCAGTGATTAGAACCGGAGGAAATGCACCCATGTCCACAGCAGCCTTATCATAGCAGCTGAAAAATGGAAGCAACCCAAGTGCCTATCAATGGATGATGGATAAACAAAATGTGGTCCATCCATGCAACGGAACTGGATTCAGCCTTAACAAGGAAGGAAATTCTGACACATGCTTCAACATGCTTCACATGCCTCAACATGCTTCACATGCCTTGAGGACGTCATGCTAAGTGGAAGAAGCCAGTCACAAAAAGACAAATACTGCATGATTCCACTCATACGAGGTCCCCAGAGTCATCAAATCCATACAGACAGAAAGCAGAATCGTGCGCGCCCAGGGCTGGTGGGAGGGGAGAGGGTGACATGTTTAACAGGGACAGGGTTTCAGTTTTGCAGGTGACAAAGCTCACGAGCTGGATGCTGGTGGTGGTTGCACAATCGTGTGAATGGACTTAACACTACTCAACTGTACATTTGAAAGTGGCTAAGATGGTTACTTTTGTGTTATCTGTATTTTACCATAATAAAAAAAATATCTAGAGAGAGGTTGGGATGTTGGGAAGAAGGTGGCTAACGATCCTTTAAAGGGGTTCACAGAGGTTCCAGTTGAGGGTACGGGCGGGGGACATCTGTACCCGAGTGACTGTATGTCCTCTCCCCATTCCTGCAGTAATTTTGGCTCTGTTCCTCCACCAGCCCTCCCCTCCACATCCCCTCTTCCAGTTCCAATCACAGCAGCCTGATATTCCAAGAAGGCACAAGGCAGGCCGTGAAGCTGGAGTTCAGAATCATTTGGTGGGCTGGGTGTGGTGGCTCACACCTGTAATCCCAGCATTTTGGGAGGCCGAGGCGGGCGGATCACGAGGTCAAGAAATCGAGACCAGCCTGGCCAACACTGTGAAACCCCGTCTCTACTAAAACTACAAAAATCAGCCGGGCGTGATAGTGTACACCTGTAGTCCCAGCTGCTCAGGAGGCTAAGGCAGGAGAATCACTTGAACCCAGGAGGCGGAGGTTGCAGTGAGCTGAGATGGCACCACTGCACTCCAGCCTGGGCAACAAGAGTGAAACTCTGTCACAAAAAAAAAAAAGAAAGAAAAAAAGAAAAAAATCAAAACAGAATCATTTGGTAAAGGGTAAATTAAAATGTAGCAAAAAGGGGACCACGTTGAACGTGAAAAATAAATGTCTTTGGATATTTCTGTAAATAACCATTTTCTTAAACGTCTACCATGTGCTATTCTGAACTGCTTTGATGTTAAAAAAAAAACTGTATTGTTGTAAAAACGTGAACATTGAGAAATACTTTGCATTATATCCTGGCACCTTGGTGTATATGATCTAACTTGACACTCGCCGAAGCTCAGTTGGAGAGGTCAAAGCCTGTCAGTCAGGGCTGGTCTGAGCCGAGCTGGCACCAGGGAGCCCAGGCTGCCCACAGCGTCCTCGAGTGATGGGAGCCCCCGACTGCGCCGAGGCCCTGGCATCCAGGCCTGCTTAGCGCTGATCCATATGTCTCTCCCCGACACTTGGCAGCTGCTGAGTGGCTTTAGATGGTAGTGGTGGGAGTGATTAATCATCCCAGTGCACCTTTGATCACATTTTAATAAAATCATAAATCAATACCTGACAGTGAGCTAAGTCCTCAGAAGTCATGGGCAGTGGCACCAGAGCAAGTGCCAAGCCAGACATATGTTGGAGCAGTCAGGGACGCCCGGGCATAGAGCAGGATCTAGCAGACGAGGCCCCACCAGAGTGCCTGGAATTCATAATGACATAGCCCATCCCTCACCCCGCTTTCTCTGGAGAGCTCAGTGCTATATTTGATGTTACCATCTGGGCTTGGGGTTCGATTCAGCCTGTAAGCACCTGTACAGCCACCCCTGTTGATAAGACATTGAAACCTTTCCATGCCGGATGATAAACATCCACAGCCCCAAACCCCTAAATGACCTTCCCAACCCAGCCATTCAAACCTTTGACCCCATAGACCTCAGCACCATCCAGCAACTAAAAGCTTAAGCTCAGGCCCAGCAGGGGCTCCGGAACCTTCTTTCCTGCACTGGCAGAGTCCTTTCTAGAGCAGTTGCTTGGCTGTCCCGAGAGTTGGATATTTTTAATATCATCCCACCTGGGCTGCTATAATTTAAATCACGCAAATGAAAGCAGATTAGCCTAAAAAGATGCAGAAAGGAACAAAAAAGTTAATTCTGACATATGAGTATTCCTATACAAGAATTTTATTTGCAACACTTAGAAAACTCCATTTATCGGTCTAGAAATATACTCTTTTGAACAAATGTGCACAGTTTTTTTTTTTTTTTAATGTTTCTAGCATCAGACTGGCTTCGCTTTGGAGTTGCAGTATTTGTAGAAGAGACGAATAACGATTTTCTGCCTGTCCCCTGGCATTTGACATTCCAAAGTCCTATCTTCTATGTCCTCTCAAAAAATTCCCAAAAAATCCAAAGATAATATAAGTACATAATTCCAAAAAATAAATGTAATGCCTTACTTTATTAAAGGAGCTATAAATAATTTATAATAAAATGGTGTCTGTTTGATGTTTGAACACAGCTATCCCCAAAATAATAAACTATATTGTCTGGCACATACATATAATGAGTACATTTGGATTCTGGAAAAATAAGACTAGAAGCTAATTCATTTAAGTACAGAAAAGCAAAAGAGAAAGGTAAGGGCAAACACCAGAATAAAAGCCGTTTGAGTTGGCATATAAAAAAAACAATCAAAAATACTCTGTGCTTCAAGGACAGAAAACCAAACACCGCATGTTCCCACTCATAGGTGGGAACTGAACATTGAGAACACCTGGACACAGGGTGGGGAACATCACACACCGGGGCCTGTCATGGGGTGGGGGGCTGGAGGAGGGATAGCATTAGGAGAAATACCTAATGTAAATGACGAGTTAATGGGTACAGCACACCAACATGGCACATGTATATCTATATAACAAACCTGCACGTTGTGCACATGTACCCTAGAACTTAAAGTACAATAAAAAAATAAATTATAAAACAAAACACTCTGTGCTTATATGTAAAATGGAATTCGGCTCTAGGCTCAAATGTTATAAACAAATTTTGCACAAATTTTGCACCCTTGCATAATATTTTAATGTCATGCTCAACAAGAACAACTCTTTCTTGGACAGTGCCGTTCTGCACATTGAGGGACATCCTTGGATCTTATCCTCTTAATGCCCATAATGATCCCTTGGTGTGACAATAAGGAATGCCCCCACCAATTTCCCAAATTCCCTTAGAGGGTGTTATTAGCCCCAGTGTGAATCCATAATCCAAATGGACACCATGGAGACTGAGACCTCACCTCCTAGTGACATGTTTGCATGAGTGTGCCATGACTGTCCACAGGGCTTGGGTGGGAGGGAAAGCCCAGCCTTTTCTCCTGATGCCGGATGTTGGAAGAAAAGGGAAAGGCAGAGAATCACGTTGAAGGTTAGGTTTCAAGCTTGAGTGACCTGGATAGTGGTGCAGCCAGCAGTTGGCTGAAGTCAGCTCACACCAGTTCACTAGAGCCAATGGTGTGCCGCTCCTTCCAATGCCACCTTCAGTGACAACATGTGACACCCTCAGAATCAGCCTTGGTGGAAGTATTTACACCGAGGAATTCAGGGTATGTTTTTCATGAGCCTGTTAACGTGAGGAGGAAATTTGCTTCATCTACAATCCCTTTTCCCTCTCTCTCTCCCCAACCAGCTGCCTCCCAGACACCTCTTCCACTGCAAGGGCAGAGCTGGGGGTAGACCTCCGGCAGCAATGTTCTAAGCTAAACACTTACCAGCACACCATGCGAACAGCCATCAATATAAATGAGTAAGAGAAGAAGGGAATGTTTTAGGAGAAGATGATGAATTCAGCTGTAGACATTTTTTTTTTTTTAAGACACAGGCTGTAACTCTTCACCCATGTTGGAGTGCAGTGGTGCAATCATAGCTCAGTGTAACTTCAAACTGTTGGGCTCAGCCTCCCAAATACCTGGGAATACAAGCAGTCACCACCATGCCCAGCTTAATGTTTTATAGAGACAAGGTCTTCCTGTGTTGCACAGGCTGGTCTCTAACTCCTGGCCTCAAACGATTCTCCTACCTTGGCCTCCCAAAGTGCTAGGATTAAAGGCATGAGCCACTGTGTCTGGCCGGCTTCAGACATCTTCAGTTTGGGGATGACAGTGTTGAATGACTAGTTAGTCTACAATTCACTTAGTAAAACAGAAATTCTTGCCAGACAATTCTCATTTTTTCTGTCCTAGAGAATGGGATGACTGCTGTGGTCCAAAGCTTAGAACATTGCTTGCTGGAGGTCTAACCCCAGCTCCACCCTTGTAGCTGGAAGAAGTGTCTGGGAGGCAGCTGGGTGGTGAGAGAGAGAGAGGAGAGGGAAAAGGGTTGTAGATGAAGGAAATCCCTTCCTCATGCTAATGGGAATTGATAAAAACCATCCTCTTGACCAAACTCTAGTCCAGCTCCTCTGAGCCCTCTCTTTAACCAGGCCTCAACTTTGGCTATAAAAACAGCAGACACTCAGCACAAAAGATTTCATCCCCATCCCCATTCCATGCTAAAAGACTTAAAGGACACTAACAGCATTTTTTTTTATTATTATTATTATACTTTAAGTTTTAGGGTACATGTGCACAATGTGCAGGTTAGTTACATATGTATACATGTGCCATGCTGGTGCGCTGCACCCACTAACTCGTCATCTAGCATTAGGTATATCTCCCAGTGCTATCCCTCCCCCCTCCCCCCACCCCACCACAGTCCCCAGAGTGTGATGTTCCCCTTCCTGTGTCCATGTGTTCTCATTGTTCAATTCCCACCTATGAGTGAGAATATGCGGTGTTTGGTTTTTTGTTCTTGCGATAGTTTACTGAGAATGATGATTTCCAATTTCACCCATGTCCCTACAAAGGACATGAACTCATCCTTTTTTATGGCTGCATAGTATCTAACAGCCCAAGGTCAAATCCCTGGTACTGCTAAAGTGACCCTAGCACTGCTAAAGTGCCTGCCTGAGAAAGCTCAACGTTGCTTGGAGGGTTACTGTCCGTTCCAGCTGATATCTGGTGACAGGCCCTGGGAAGCCCTTACGGCAGCTACTGCATAAAGCTTGCAGTTGCACATCCTTTCTCTCCCCCTTCGTGATGATCTTCCACCACCCAGAAGGTCTTCTCAGATACCTGGGGGCTTCTCTCAGAAATGCAAACATTCAGAAGAATATCTCCCACTCTCCACCTCCAGCCCAGTGGGCTCCTTGCTCTAATCAGCACAACCACCTCCTGTCACAGATGTGAGAAGTTTGCTTCTCCTTTCAGACAAGCACCAGGTAACAAACCCAGTCTCTGCTGGAGCCCAGCTCACCTGCCCCCTTTCCCTTTAGGGCGCTCCGTCGCCTCTGCACAAATCCCAGTTGCATTCCGACCTCACTGCAGCACCTGCCCCATTGCAAGGGTCACTACTGAGTAAAGGCCACACTCCCCCTTTAACCAGCGCCTGGCTTTATCTCGCGCAGCATTCCTGTCCTTTCCCAAAATGCCACACTCCAGGGTTCTTGTTTTGTGGTTACTTTTTTCTTCCACTACTGCCCTTAAACAGTGCCTGGCACAGAGCAGGCTCTTAAAGAAGTCCTTTTAAATGACTGAATGCGCCAGGTTTTACGTCACCCAGAGTCCATTGATAGAGAAAGGCAAGAGGGGATACAGACACACCCTGTGCCCCACCCACTCAACTGCCCCGCCAGACCAGGCAGTGCCCCGGGAGCAGGAAGACTCACTCCGAATGGATCTGGAAGCCTGCAGGACACACAACCCAGGGTGGCCCCACACGGGAGCTGCTCCATAATGAAGCTCCCCACTGTGTTTCCATTCATCATTGTCTGGGACCGGCCTGCACTCACCAGCGGGAGAATATTAAGTTAACAGGAACACATTCAGCGCTGGTGTAAATTAAAAGCCAAATCATTCTATAATCAAATAGTCATTATTCCAAAAGGAATGACTCACTGGGAACACTTTTATCGGTATTTATTGCCCCATTATATTATAATGGGCTATTTTAAAAAATACATTATATTGATTAGAACCCAGTGTTGCATTCAGACAAAATCACAGAGGTCCTGTGTATATTTTCATTTATCCTATAATTTATTGCTCGCTGCTCTTTTATTTTTCCCTGAGCTGCAGGAACAGTTCAGGACACAAAGATCTATTACCCTCCCCGCCAGGGAGTAATACATGGGGACTCAATGAACCAGTTTTGAATTGGGCATTATTCTTCACTATACTTAGGGAAATCAAATATTGCTACTGAAATGCACCTCCTGTTTTCTGGGATTGAGAACACACAGCCTCTACTTGCCCCACAGTGGGGAGGAAACAGAGTATTCAGGCCACTGTAATTGTGGAAGGAGTCACGGGAAGTGGAGACAGGAAAGGCTGTGAGGAGCCAAGGGAAAGAGGCGAAGAGAAAGGCGGACAGGAGAGAGGACGAGAATGAAAGAGAAATCAACAGGGGGAAAGAGAACAACAGGCAGAGGGAAAAGGAAGTAAGTTTGCTGAATTCTATATTAAGAAACTGGTAAATGTCCTGTAGGTCAATAAAACCATAAACTTTGAGGTTATCTTTGCTATTAGTCAGAAAAAAATGAGAACCCTTTGTCAGATTTCTGCAAGTTAACCGCTAATTTTACAGGGTTGTAAAACACCTGGGTCTCAATCAATTGCTAGTGAAACACAATTACCCTTCCCATGAGTCAGATGACCTTCAGGTGGACATGATATTCACAGGTTGTGAAACCATGTTTTGCCCTTTTTCAAATGTTAGGCTACTTTTTCCTGAAAATCCTCTGCATGAAAAATTCTACCGCCCTTAGTGTGTCTCACACAAGGATAACTTCAACCCAAGCTGTGTTCAACCTGGCCTCCAGGTCCCTGTCCTTAGGGCGGGACCCATCCTCTGCTTCCCGAATAACCAACACTCCTTTCCATTGCCCAGAAACCATCCCTGCTACCTCGTGAGGAATTAACTTTACCCAAAGAAAGGCCTGACCTCTGTCCCAGGTCCTGGGAGAAAGTCCCTGAACTCCTAGAAGGTCCCAAGCGACAGGAGTGTCTGTTCACGGTGGGCCCCTCCAACCATCTGGCAGTTTATACCCATGGGGTGACTCAGGGTGGGGCCAGCCAGAAAGAACAGCCATATCATTCGAGGATTGGTGCTTTGAGCTGTGTGACATCTGCTGACATGGTTTGGATATTTGTCACCCCCCAAATCTCATGTTGAATTGTAATCCCCAGTGTTGGAGGTGGGGTCTGGTGGGAGGTGACTGGATCATGGAGGCGGATTTCTCACGAATGGTTTAGCCCCATCCCTTTGGTGCTGTCCTCATGATAGTGAGTTCTTACAAAATCTGGTTGTTTAAAAGAGCATGACACCTTCCTCTCTCTCTCTCGCTCCTGATCCAGCCATGTGAAGTGCCTACTCCTGCTTCACCCTCCACCATGAGTAAAAGCTTCCTGAGGCCTCCCCAGAAGCAGATGCCACTATGCTTCCTGTACAGCCTGCAGAACCTTGAGCCAATTAAAGACACAGGCATGCATATGTTTATTGCGGCACTATTTACGATAGCAAAGACTTGGAATCAACCCAAATGCCCATCAACGACAGACTGGATTAAGAAAATGTGGCACATATACACCATGGAATACTATGCAGCTATAAAAAAGAATGAGTTCATGTCCTTTGCAGGGACATGGATGAAGCTGGAAGCCATCATTCCCAGCAAACTAACACAGGAACAGAAAACCAAACACTGCATGTTCTCACTCATAGGCGGGAGTCAAACAATGAGAACACATGGACACAGGGAGGGGAACATCACACACTGGGGTCTGTTGGGGGGTGGGGGACAAGGGGAGGGAGAGCATTAGGACAAATACCTAATGTATGCAGGGTTTAAAACCTAGATGACGAGTTGATAGGTGCAGCAAACCACCATGGCACATGTATACCTATGTAACAAACCTGCACATTCTGCACATGTATCCCAGAACTTAAAGTAAAATGAAAAATAAAAAATAAAATTAAATAAATTACCCAGTCTCAGGTATTTCTTTATAGCAATTCAAGAACAGCCTAATATATCAGTTCAAACTGAGAAGAGAAGGGAAAACGGAGGGGAGTTTGCCACAAAATCAATGATTCAATCACCCATGCCTAGGCGATGAAGCCTCCATAAACTCCCCGGACTCAAAGCACAGGTGAGCTCCCAGGTGCAGAGACTCTGCACCATCACACACCCACGCTGAGAGGGTGATGGGAGCCCCCAGACTTCATCCTCTGCGTCTCTTCCTTTGGCCGGGTCTAGTTTGTATCCTTTTGCGACAATGAAACTGTGATTGTAAGTACGGCACTTTCTTGAGTTCTGTGAGTTCTTCTAGTGAATTACTGAACCTGAAGGTTGTCACGGGAACCCCATATTCCTAGCCACGTGGTCTGAAGTGAGGGTGGTCCCTGATATCCCCAATCTTGTGACTGGTTTCAGAGACTTAGGCCAACGTGGCAGTCTTAAAGTTTGTGCCCTGAACCTTGAGTGTCACTAACTCTGGGTACCTTCTTTACTAGTTATCCTTAGGTACAGAGCAAATCAGCACACACTTGGTATAGCAGGACCAGCCGCAGCCAAAACTCCTCAGACACCGGATTAAAGAAGTGGTCTATTCGGCCGGGAGCATCGGCAGACTCGCGTCTGAAGAGCCGAGCTCCCCAAAAAAGAAATCCTTGGCCTTTTTAAAGGCTTAAAACTTTAAGGGGTCCACGTGAAAGGTCGTGATAAATCGAGCTAGCATGGGAAACGAGACTGGGGTCTACATGCATCAGCTAACAGAACAGAAAGTTTTGCGATGCTTTTTCATACAATGTCTGGAATTTACAGATAACGCAAGTAGTTTAGGTCAGGGGTTGATGTTATTATTATTACTTTTTTAACTCCTAGGGCCGGGTGGTGGTGCCAAGGTTGTCTGGCTATTTATCTTATTTTTGTTTCTTTCCAACTTTTTGCTTTCTCTCTTTCCTCCTGTCTTGTGAACTAGGCAAGGTCGGGGGAGGAGGGCAGCAGGAGTAGTAGTGGTCTCCTTCCTTACTGGTAGTTTAAAACAATGCACGTATATTATGACCCAGTTTGTCTATCAGGAATCCAGGCACGACTCAGCGGGCTCCTCTGCCGCACCAACGTATCTCATCGGGTTGCACTCAAGGCATCGGCCAGGGCTGGAGTCTCATCTGAGGTCTCGACTGAGGCTTCGCCTCTGAGCTCACAGGGCCGAGAGCAAGATTCAGTGCCTTATGAGGTGGGGCGAGATCTCAGCTCACTGCTGGTTGCTGGCTGGAGGCCACCTGCAGTTCCCTGTCCTGCAGGTCTCTGCATATGGCAGCGTGCACCATGAAAGCCAGCAAAGAGGCCGGGTGCAGCGGTCTGCATATGTCAGTGAGTATCATTAAAGCCAGCAAAGAGGCCAGCTGTGGCGGCTCACACCTGTAATCCCAGCACTTTGGCAGGCTGAGGCGACAGACTGCTTGAGCTCAGGAGTTTGAGACCAGCCTGGGCAACATGGCAAAACCTCGTCTCTACAAAAAATACAAAAATTAGCTGGGCAGGACATGCACCTGTGGTCCCAGTGACTCAGGAGGCTGAGGCTGGAGGATTGCTTGAGCACAGGAGGTCAAGGCTGCAGTGAGTGGTGATCATGCCATTGCACTCCAGCCTGGGTGATAGAGTGAGACCCTGTCTCAAAAAAAAAAAAAAAAATCCAGCAAGGGAGCGAGGCAAGAGAGTCAGCCAGCAGGACAAAATGTGTAACATCTTCTAATCTTACATAACATAATCATGGAAGCAACATTTGATTGTTCTGTGGAGGGCAGGGGCTTCCACAAATGAGATACTGGTAAGTGCGGATAAGGGGCCCCTCAGCATCTGGCTGCTACACCTTCCATCAGGGAACTCCCAGGTTGAAACCATTAAAACTTAATTTAAACCACGGATGACCCAGAAGAAAGCCTAAGTCTGCAGAGAGAAAGTCTGCTCACTCAGTAGCAGCCCACCCTCTCCCTTCCTCCATTCAGCCCTTGGTTTGAGGCCCAGGGATTTGTAAGGAAGATGGACCTGGACATAAGTCTCAAGACAGCAGGGCCTCGGCCATCAGGGTTCATGTGAGGTCCCATTCTAAGTTCTGAGGACATGAAGACGAGTAAAACAAAGTCTGTCCTTATAGGCCCAAAATGCAAACTTCAGGCCAAGGGACGCGTCAGTCAGTAGACACCTGGGGAGTAACAAGATGTGTTTTAGAAAGAGAATGTGGGCTGGGTGTGGTGGCTCACACCTGTAATCCCAGGACTTTGGGAGGCCGAGGCAGGAGGATTGCCTGAACTCAGGAGTTCGAGACCAGCCTGGGAAACATGGCAAAACCCCGTCTCTACTAAAAATTCAAAAAATTAGCTGAGCATGGTGGCCGGTGCCTGTAGTCCAGCTATTCAGGAGGCTGAGGCACAAGAATTGCTGAACCCAGGAGGCAGAGGTTGCAGTGAGCCGAGGTTGCAGTGAGCCGAGATTGCACCAGTGCACTCCAGCCTGGGAACCAGAGGGAGACTCTTTCTCGAAAAAAAAAGAGAGAAAAGAAAGAATGTGGGTGGCAATGTGTAGGAGGGACTACAGTATTTTTCATCTTTTTGAAATTATTGAGAATTTCATTTCTGTCTTCAAGCCAAAGTCCCTGAAGTCCCTGAAGCCAGGAGATCCTCCAGAAGGAGCAGACGTGGAAAGACTGAGTCTTCATTCCCCAGGTTGCCCCAGTCCTGTCGCCTCCCCTGGTGCCACTGTCCCACCCAGCATGACTGCTGGGAAAAGCTGGCATCCATGCAGGACAGCGGCTTTCTGCAAAGACACATTCCAGCCGTAATGGCTCGACATCAGACTGGGTGCCCGGAAACACGCCATGCATCCTTCTCTCCGAAGACGACTCCAATAATGAAATTGTTGGAACCGAGGGGGCAAGAGGAGGCCGTGAAGTCGCCTCCTTGTCGTACAGATGAGAGATAGAGGCCCAGACAGGAGAAGTAATTTGCCCAAGGTCACCTGGCTTTTACTGCCAAGATTTGTCTACAAGCCAGTTGTTCTGCGGGCTCCCAGGCAGGGCACTTTCTGCATTTTTATGATTGTAGAGGAGCACTCGCCCTCGGCTTGGCCCTGACTTCAGTTATCCGGATTAATGGCACCGGGAGGCAGAGGTTGCAGTGAGCCGAGATTGCACCAGTGCACTCCAGCCTGGGAGACAGAGTGAGCACCGTTCTGCTGGACCCAGACACACTCCGTTCCACGTGTGGCAGCACGGAGAAATAAACCCTGTGGCTGCATGCAGCCCGGCCGCTGGGGACATTGCCACCACACAGGGCGAACTCTCCAGTCTCTCCCAGCCCCCAGGCATCCCTCACGAGGCTGCCCCGGGGATCTGGGCCTCATGCTTCTCTGAAGAGCAAAGTTGTTTTTCTCTCTTGATGTCCCTTCCTCCTCCTCTCCCTCTGGTTCTTCCCTCCCTCCTGTTTCTATTAACCCCCACACTAAAGAAAGCTCATTTTAATTATTTTTATACTCAATTTTATAATTCCAGTTTTTAACGCTGAAAACTGAGAAGAAAAACATTTTAGATTTATCTCTTTTTAAAACACTTTTAAGTTGTTTTTACATATACAATAACTTCATTTGCATTACAAAGGATATTCTTAATTTATTATTTATTCCCTGAGGTTTAATCAGTCTCAACAAGAAGTCTCCCATTCACGTCCTGAAAATCAGTGCAAAGCCGCTTATTACTGAGTATGAATGCATTAATCAGATACTTTTCTGGTATTTATTCAACCCACAACTATATATACTGATTGCCCACTATTCAGGTCAAAGCTTATTAAGTGGATGAGTCTTATTTTCAGGAAACAATTTGCCTCTTCTGATAGAAGATCCCTCATGTCTCCAGGAAAGCCTCACTTATTTAATAATAACTAATACAAAATAAGTTAAAGATGCTGTTAGAAAAAGGCGGGAAATGAGCAATCAAATGTCCTAACAGAAAAATAACACTCACCAAAAAAAATGCTGCCATAAAACAATTAAAAATAGTGACCTGATATTTCCTGTGCTTTTTTTTTAATCTTAAGAATTGCCCCTATTAAGGAAAAACATCAGGCGGACGGACACTCAGTTACTCAGGAAAGAGCATGAGATGGTAAGAACAAGATGAAGCAGCAGTGGGCAAACTGGGAAAATAAGTTGGAGAAGAAAATAAAATCATTGCAGAAATTAAGATGAAATTGGAATGAGACCAGGGCAAACCACAGGCATAGATACTGGTACAGCCACTAAGTGATACGAGGGATAAAAAGTACACAAGTGATAGAGTGAAAAGAAAAACTGAATCATTATTATTATTCTGAAATGGAGTTTCGCTCTTCTTGCCCAGGCTGGAGTGCAATGGCGCGATCTCGGCTCAACGTAATCTCCACCTCCTGGGTTCAAGCGATTCTCCTGCCTCAGCCTCCCGAGTAGCTGGGATTACAGGCATGTGCCAGATTACAGGCATGAAATGAGAATTTCATTTCTGTCTTCAAGCCAAAGTCCCTGAAGTCCCTGAAGCCAGGAGATCCTCCAGAAGGAGCAGACATGGAAAGATTGAGTCTTCATTCCCCACATTGCCCCAGTCCTGTCACCTCCCCCGGTGCCACTGTCCCACCCAGCATGACTGCTGGGAAAAGCTGGCGTCCACGCAGGACAGCGGCTCTCTGCAAAGACACATTCCAGCCGTAACGGCTCGACATCAGACTGGGTGCCCGGAGACACGCCATCCATCCCTCTCTCCGAAGATGACTTTAATAATGAAATTGCTGGAACCGAGGGGGCAAGAGGAGGCCGTGAAGTCACCTCCTTGTCGTACAGATGAGAGATAGAGGCCCAGACAGGAGAAGTAATTTGCACAAGGTCACCGGCTTTTTTTGTATTTTTAGTAGAGATGAGGTTTCTCCATGTTGGTCAGGCTGGTCTCGAACTCCTGACCTCAGGTGATCTGCCCACCTTGGCCTCACAAAGTGCTAGGATTACAGGCGTGAGCCACCACACCCAGCCCCAAAGACTGAAATTAAAACGACTAGACAGAATAGAATATATGCAGAAAACAAGTAAAAGCAAGCCGATGCATGCATAATCAAATTCTTTTTTTACAAAAAAAGAAAATCAAAATAATGGAACAAATTAAATGTATAATCGAAGAACTCTTTCATAAAATAAAGATTTTATGTATACATTTAAAAGAAATACAATGTAACCAGGGAAAATTAACCCAGAATTGTTGACCTTACAACATGGGCTATTAAAGTTATTGAACTTCAAAGATTAAAAAGGAATCCTTCGTGCAGTCAGACAAAAAAAGTCACTTCTAAGGGAAGAAATTGGGCTTGCCTCAGAAAAATTCAAAGCCAGAAGACAATGTAACAACACACACTAGGCCTTCAAGTACAGAGAGTGTAAGCCAAGTATTTTGTATCCAGCCAAATGGTCCTTCATTCATAGATGACAGACAAAAGTTTTTTAACAGGAAAGAATTCGAATGATATTGCTCTTATGAGTCTCCTTCAGGAAAGTGCTGGGGTACGAAATTCAGCTAACCTGAAGATTGGTTAGGAAGTTAAACCAGACAGGCCAGACACAATGACTCATACCTGTAATCCCAGTGTTTTGGGAGGCCGAGGTGGGAGAATCACTTAAGTTCAGGAGTTCAAGACCAGCCTGGCCAACATAGTGAGACCCCATTTCTACTGAATCAAAATTTTTTTTAAAAGTTTTCAAAGGAAAACTAAACCAGACAGGCTAACAAAGAGCCTTGGCTGCATTTAATTGTAAAATAAACGCTAAAACATACATGAGGATTAGTGACAGAGCAGAATATAAATATTATGGGTCCAGCAATGTAGAAATGATGCACAGAATAAATAAATAGGAGTGGAAGAGGAAAGAAGGTAGACGATAGAAAAGGTATACTGGCCAGGTGTGGTAGCTCACACCTGGAATCCCAGCATTTTAGGAGGCAAGGCAGGTGGATCACTTGAGGTCAGGAGATCAAGACCAGCCTGGCCAACACGGTGAAACCCCATCTCTACTGCAAATCCAAAAATTAGCTGGATGTGGTGGCATATGCCTGTAATCCCAGCTACTCGGGAGGCTGAGGCAGGAGAATGGCTTGAACCCCAGAGGTGGAGGCTGTGGTATCAATGAGCTGAGTAACAGCTGTGATTTGAAACTCCCAGGCCAAGTAACAAAAGAACAAAGTTAACACTGAGAAAAATAACATTAGCTACAATTAGGTGAGGGTGGGTGGAGGAGAAGAAACATGATCCTTTCCTTACGGCTTTACAAGGGGCAGGGACTAAAAGAGGAAGGTGGTCTATGCAGTTACCATTCTAAAGACAAATAAAAAATCTTCCTGTTGGAACTTCACAAAACACAAAACAAAATGCAGACGACACAGTGAAAGACTTATAAGAACAAATAGCCCAAACGTCCATCAGCAGGAAAATGGATAAACAAACTGTGGTGTAGTCACGTAACAAAACATACTTGGTACTAAAAGTCTGCTCATGCAACACACGGGCGACTCTCTCAGCCATTCTGCTGAGCAAAAGAAGCCAGACACAAAAGCGTGTATGTTCTAGATTCTACTTACAGGAGGTTCTGCAGCAGATCGACTAATCGAAGGTAAAAAAGAATAATAATAATAATAATAGCCATTCTCTCACTGTGGGAGAAATCAGGGCTGGTTGTGAAAGGCCGCGGAGAACTTTTGGAGAATAGAGATTGTTTACATCACTCTTTCACCCAGGCTGGAGTGCGGTGGCATGATCACCCCTCACTGCAACCTTGACTTCTTGGGCTCAAGCAATCCTCCTGCCTCAGCCTCCTGAGTAGCTGGGACTTTGGCATGGGTGATTGAATCACTGCTTCTGTGGTAAACTCCCCCTCCACTTTCCCTTCCTTCCCGTGTTTGAACTGATATATTAGGCTGTTCTTGCACTGCTGTAAAGAAATACCTAAGAATGAGTGATTTATAAGAAAAGAAGCTTGGGCCGGGTGCAGGGGCTCACGCCTATAATCCCAGCACTTTGGGAGGCCGAGGCAGGTGGATCACGAGGTCAGGAGATCAAGACCATCCTAGCTAACACAGTGAAACCCCATCTCTACTAAAAATACAAAAAATTAGCCAGGTGTGGTGGGGGCCACCTGTAGTCCCAGCTACTCGGGAGGCTGAGGCAGGAGAATCACTTGAACCCAGGAGGCAGAGGTTGCAGTGAGCCAAGATTGTGCCACTGTACTCCAGCCTGGGCGACAGAGAGAGACTCCTTCAAAAGAAAAGAAAACAGACTTAACTGGCTCACGGTTCTGCAGGCTGTACAGGAAGCATAGCAGTGTCTGCTTCTGGGAAGGCCTCGGGAAGCTTTTACTCACGGCAGAAGGTGACGCAGGAGGAGGCACTTCACAGGGCCGGAGCAGGAGCAAGAGAGGGAGAGGAAGGGGCCATGCACTTTTAAACAAGCAGATCTCACAAGAACTCACTCACTATTGCGAGGACAGCACCAAGGGGAGGTAATAGGGCTGTGGGCTTCGTGGATCTGCACATTTGTAAAAGTTGCAGACCTCAGTCTTGGTGTAACTGGCATGATAGGAGGAATGCATCTCCCAACCTATCGCCTTTACAACATCATTCCCCAGTTAGGGAGCCGCTTTCTGTTCACCACAGAGCCCCACAGGAGGGTGGCACAGAGGCCACTGGCGGTCATCTCCCTCTTAGCATGGGGCATGTGATGAGCTTCCTGATGGAAAACATGGTCCGAAGGCAGATTCTGAGAGGAGAGGACGGAGGCAGGGAGTTTTCAGAGGCCAGGGCAGAACAGAAGAGGTGGGAAGTCCTGGAGCAATCTCTAGCTTCCTCGCAGCATTTATTCAGACCCATAATGAGGGATTTGAATGTTTGGGCCAAATGTGTCACATCCACAATCCATTCCTTTATTTTCTATTCAAGCACTTGTTCATTCACACTTCTGCTCACCTACAAATAATTGTGTACCTGCCATGTGCCAGGAATGGTCATAACTAATGAAAACAGATGGAGATGGTAACAGCAGCACACAGCTGTCTGTTCTAATGGAGCTCACAATTGTGCATGGGCACGTGTGTGTGTGTGTGTGTGTGTGTCAGGGCAGCGGGGAGACCACCATCACCCAATAATCATACAAATAAGTAGAAGATTACAGTTCCGGTACAAGCGATTAAAACAGGTGCACAGGGCTGTGAGAACTGAAACCTGAAGAGATGTGGAGGAATTAATTCTGCCCAGCTGCAGAGGGCACAGCACAAACCTGACTAGGCAGGTCCCTTTAGGCCACATTGTGCCAAAGGATGGTGTGTCCAGCACAGTTTTGTTTGTTTACTTTAAGTTCTGGGATACATGTGCAGAATGTGCAGGTTTGTTACATAGGTATACCACATGTGCCATGGTGGTTTGCTGCACCTATCAACTTCTCATCTAGGTTTTAAGCCCGGGATGCATTAGGTATTTGTCCTAATGCTCTCTCTCCCCTTGCCCCCCACCCCGCAACAGACCCCAGTGTGTGATGTTCCCCTCCCTGTGTCCATGTCTTCTCATTGTTCAACTCCCACTTACGAGTGAGAACATGCAGTGTTTGGTTTTCTGTTCCTGTGTTAGTTTGCTGAGAATGATGGTTTCCAGCTTCATCCATGTCCCTGCAAAGGACATGAACTCATCCTTTTTTATGGCTGCATAGTATTCCATGGTGTATATGTGCCACATTTCCTTTATCCAGTCTATCATTGATGGGCATTTGGGGTTGATTCGAAGTCTTTGCTATCGTAAATAGTGCTGCAATAAACATACATGTCCAGCACAGTTTTGGCAACTAGTCTCTAGTGGTGAAGCTCACAGCTGAGAGGATGACCGCAGTGACTCACGTAAAAGGAAAGCCAAAGGCTACAGAGGGAAGATGCTCTGGAGTCAGAACACCTGGGGCACACCTGGCTTCCTGCCCAAGCTCTGCCCCTTAATCACCATCTGACCATGGACAAGTCACTCAGCATCCTGAGCTTCAATCCTCTTATCTCCGAGCCTGGACTATGCACCTCACAGGGTTTTGCGTAAATTAAACCAGGTAGTGTGAAAACACTCAGACCAGTCTCTAGGACAAGGGAGGAACTCGATGACTGTTGACTAAATCTGATCAGCACCCTTCCACCCCAATGGAATAGGTCACTCTTCCTATGCCACTGTCCTTTCCTCCATGCTGCTTCCTTCCATCAACTATCACTGTCTCTTTGGAGGCTCCTTACAATTAGTGGCTGTGTTTGCATTTTGAGGACTCACACCTGGGACGAGTTCCTCATCCTGACACTCGATGCCTGCCACATTCTGGCCTGACTTCCTCTGAAAATACAGTCTTTATCCTGATGAGGAACTGGGGTCTTCTTGTTCCTCAAGATGTTTGCTCCTTCCCATCTCTGCTGAGTAAAGTGCCATTGAGCACCTAAAGGTGTGTGACTCTGCGTTCAGCACTGAGGGATAGAAAGGAAGTGTCAGAATGAGTCCATGCCTCCAGGGAGCAGAAACACACCAGAAACTCTGGGTGATCAATTGAATGTCACACTGCTGGGCCTGACTGATCCCATAGCACTGGAAAGAGAGCACCCAAGAAGGAGGACAAAGAAGGCTTCACAGAGGAGGAGGCTGAGCTGCACCATGACACTGAGGTGAGATCAGGCAAGAGGAAACAGAAGGATGTGAAGGCAGTTTCAATGCAGCGAAGGCAGAGGGTTGTGCAAGAGCTTCTATCACTGTTCGGCATGTGCATGAAGAGGCGCTGGGAACCAGGCCCTGGTGGGAATGAGGACCCGCTAGGGGGTGTCTCGCAGGCCAATCAGAAGCATGCTGCCTTCCTCTCCACCACCCCAGTAATAAAATGGAAGAAATAGAAAGTGACTCTCACAAACTCGAGCTGGACGCATTTCCGAGGGACTGAGTAACTCCCAAATTTGAGGGAAGGGCTGAACAGCCAAACCACAGGAAGACGGAAACTAGACAGTCCTGGCCAAGCTCCCATCGCTCTGCACAATCACCAGGGTCCCAGCTCCAGTCTGCGTGGCCACCGCTCACCATTCCCGTTCCCAGGAGGACAACTGTGATTGGCCTGAGATGGAAACAATGCTGTCCCCAAATCAGTCAGTGACCACAAGTCAGTGCATGGGGAGGACAAGAAGGCTCAGAAACCATGAGCGTCTCCTGTGTACTGGGGCAGTTTCCAGGGAGTAAGTCATCATTGGCTGAGGAGACCCCCTGCACAGGCGATCTGCTGCACCCCAGGTCAAGGCTTAGCTGAAGCCCTGCCTCTAGTCAGGGGAGGGCACATATCACCATCTCCCCATAATGACTAAAGAGGGAAGAGTGCAGCCTGGGGTGATGAGTGTGAAGAGGCTGATTTTATGGACAAGCTAAGACTGGACCTTCAGAAATAAACCCCCTCTTCCTGCGGACCCACAAGTGGTCTTCTGGGAAGCACTGGATACCTGCCAGCCACAGAAGGTTATCAAGACTGTGCAAGCCGGGCACAGGAGTTTACAGCTGTAGTCCAAGCACTTGGGGAGGCTGAGGCGGGAGGACTGATTGAATCCAGGAGTTCAAGACCAGCCTGAGCAACATAGCAGGACTCTGTCTCTTAAAAAAAAAAAAAAAACTATTCTGAAAAAGAAAAATATTTTAAAATCATACCTGTGGCAGCATTTAGTTAGGAAAGCTCAGCTTATTTAAGTAATATTTAATTTGATTGTGAAAAAGCTTATTTATATGTTGTCTCTTTTCCTATATACTCAGTATGGGTTTTTTAAAAAGATAAACTTACGCATATTAAAATCTTAATGAGGCTAGGTGCAGTGGCTCACACCTATAATCCCAACACTTTGGGAGGCCGAGGTGGGCAGATAGCTTGAGTCCAGTTGTTTGAGACAAGCCTGGGCAACATTGTGAACATTTTTTTTTTTGTAGAAACCCCACCTACCAAAACCAAAACAAAACAAAAACAAAAATTAGCCAGGCGTGGTGGCATGCACCTGTAGTCCCAGCTACTCAGGAGGCTGAAACAGGAGGATCACTTGAGCCCAGAGGTTGAGGCTACAGTGAGCCATGATCATGCCACTGCACTCCAGCCTGGGCAACAAAGTGAGATCCTATCTCAAATTAAAAAAAAGACTTCATGCAGTCAACCAGGACACAGCCTCTTCCCCGCTGCATTTCTCTCTGGGCTGGCAAAGCTGTCTCCTAATGCCAGCAAGTCACTTGGCTGGGGATAGAGCTCAGAGCCCTGCTGGCTTCTCAGACTGTATAACCGTCACCACCAGAGTGCCCAGTCCACGCATCTGCATGGAGCCAGCCAGCGGCATTTCCAGTACTTTCTCATTCTCTAATAGCATTATTTCCAATAAGTCATAAAAAAAAAACTTTTGAAATATGTTTTTGGGAATATTGAGAAAAAGCTACTTTCTAAGTAAGGCAGTAGTAAAGAGAGGAGAGAGAGGAATATAAAAATAAAAATAACTGGCATTCACATAGACTCATGTATCATGCAGAGCACTAGAATGGAGGACATTTCCCAAGGTCACAGAGTAAATTATTAGAAGAAATGGAACCAGAGCTCTCCTTTTCTGACCAGGTGCCCTCGTGGAACTGCTAAACTTGGCTCATTGAGAATCAATGAAACAAGATCTTTTTCTATTCCTCCGTTGCTTTCCGTCCTGTTTCCCAGATTCCTCGTTGAGAATCCCAGGCTTAGGAAGCCCTGGGACACAGCACCCCAGTTGAAGTCACCCTTCTCATGGGATCAGCTGAGGTCTCACCTTCTATTTAAAGCCATTTTCTCTCCACGAGGAAAATCATCTGTGCATTCATCCAAGATGTGAGCACACAGTCCCAGGGGCCCTCAGGATGGTTCTCCAAGTAGCCTCGAACCGACCCATTTCTCTCCTTTTTCCCAGCATGTAGCTCTCAGAATAACTGTAAGATGTGCTGGGGATGTAACATCCTGAGACAGGGAGGAACTGCCTGAAGCAGCCAGGCCTTGTCCTGTTCCTCCTAAAGAATATCAGATCTTGAGTTAGGGAGAGGCTGCCCGGGACAGCCCCGGCTCCGTGCCTGCCTCCCCTGGGAGCAGGATGTCCTTCAAAGCTTTGCCCAGCCCTGCACTACATTACCCAGGTGGGCTGTTCTTCAGGGTCCCTCGGCCGTGGTCTAAGTGGGGCACACGCAGTTGAGACTCCATCAGCCCCGGGATAGCCTTCTTGAACCTTGGGGGACAGGCTCACAATGGATCTGAGACATCTTCTGTCCCTGGCTGCCAATTTCTAAGGAATACCCACCTCACATAGCTGGTTTCGTGTGAGCGTGTTTTGTTTCACAGACTTGGGCAGTTGGTAAATCTGTAGCCCAAGATGGCATGGGCAGAAGCGATTGGACTCCTACTCCTGGAAACTGGCAGGGTGATGATCTTCGCTTTCTACCCTGTCTGGGAGTCCTCCCTTGGGATTAGTGATTAGCAAACCTGCTCTGCACAATCCCGGGGTCCTGTTTTGAGATTCTACTTGCTGCGGGGACTTTGAGTACCAATTATGGCACCGGTCAGGATGCTGACGGAAACAGCATGCTTGAATAAAAGCAAATGAAGAAGGTTTATGGGAGGGGTACCCCCAAAGTTGCTGGCCAGGTTAAGGGAAATCAACAAAGGAAGATGAGTGAACCTGGAGCCCACATCTTTAGGAAGCCATGGGCATTCCTTAGCCTGAGATGGAAGGGGAGGGCTTGGTTATCCGAACCTAGTGAGAGCTGTAACTGTTAGAAAAGGTGGAGCCCAAAACATCAGGTGGAGAAGGGCAAACATTGCCATACTGCAACCCAGCAAAGACGTCCCAGGGCGGTACATAGCCTGGCCTCTCCTCCCTGCTTTCCACCTCCTGTCGGTGCCTCTCGTTGGTGGAATACAACGCGAAGCCACTGGACAAAGGAGCCTGAATGTGTCCGGAGCCCAGCCTTACACGGTGCAGAGCGGTGTGTAAGAATGGAGGCAGGGAGAATGGATCTGGAGAGACAAGCAGAGCACACCCAGCTCAACAGCGAAGTCGCCAAGCCCAGCTCAGTTACTTTATCCAAGTCACAATTTCTCTGGGCCTGTATTTTCTCTTCTACACAATGCCTAGCACACAGCAGTTCCTCAAACAGCAAGCGTTTGCTGAATGAGTGAATGAATGAATACACGGATGAATGGGCAGGGAAGCGGCCCCTGTGATCCTGAAATGAGTGGCACCTCCGCCTCCACCCGACAGCACTAGCACCCCACTCTCATCTTGGGTTGTTTTGCACCTTCCTCTCCCTTTGTCAGTATCTAGGACCTGACTATATTCAATAGTCATCTGAGCCGTGGATGCTGCAAGTGAAGGGGATCCATGCCAGGCCTCGGTGTTAGGATGGGTGGTAGAGCCAGGGTCCCTCAGGGCTCACAAGCATGTGCCGGGAATCACACCAGCCAACACTCACCAAAGGACAGGAGGAAAAGCCACCATGGGTGGGATATCGAGGGTGGCTCCCGCTGGCTCCCCCACCACTCCTGGTGATGTTCTCCCCACGACTGTCTTATAATAGGACCTGTGGCAGTCCTGGGGAAACACCAAAATGACGGTGGGGAGCTTTGTGGAACATCGTAGGCCCAGATCCCTACAACTAGATAGGGCCAGACCCACCCATGATCCCTGAGCCTTAGAAGATTGGTGAAGACCCTGAGTTCCCAGAGAATGTTTGCTCGTTGTAAATATGTCTCTGGGAAGGATGAAATGTCCTCCGCAACCATCACACAATAAAAGTTGGCTGAACAGAAATGCGTCTGTTGAAATGGGTGGAAACCCACAGTGCAAGGTTAAGGACTGTCCTGGGCAATCCCTGCTGCCTCTAGCTGGGCCCATGGGACAATGAGAAGTGAGGGAATGAGTTCTGCCTCTAGAACAGGAGACATTTACACCCTGGCACCTGAGCTTTGGGTAGTCTTCCTGTGGAGTGGAAGCCCTGTGCTAAGTGCCCAGATTGGCCCCAGCTGTCTCTGTGAGGGCACCTGCACAGTCTGGGGGTCTCTGGGACCCTGGTCCCCTCTGACATGAAAGTTTTGCTCTGGGGTATGCTCCCTCAAGCCCCCAGACTCATTGCCTTGTAGAAAGATATTAGATGGCCAAGCTCCAGACACTGAGGGAAAGGCAGGTATTTGTGCAGTAGCTACCTCAGCAACGTTGGTTATAACCAGCCCAGCCCAGCTTGTAGGACATGAATCTGAGGTAGCCAGTCAAATGAAAGGCATGTTGTAATTACTATTTTGTTCCTATGCGGCACTGAAGCTGTGACTCTCGCCTTGGGGTGATGTTAGAGGCAATGGGGTGATTTCGAGGAAAGATACTCTGGCCCCCAAATTCCTACTGCAAATGCCTGAAATTCCTTCTTTTCAGTTTCAGCCCTTTGGCTGAGGGCCAGAATAGTAAATCTTTGAATAATGTTTGTCTTCCATTAGAGCCTTAAAAAGTCTTTCAATAAATTCTTATTGCTTGTATTTCTTTCCTTGGGGTCCTGTGAATTGTATCTACAACCGGGTCCGAGGGACTGGTAAGAACTGCTAGGGAGACAGGCACATGGTCCACAGTCATCCACCCCCTCTTCCTCGGGAGTAAAGCTGTTCCTTCAACTGAAAACACTTCCTTAGAAGCCACATGGCAGAGACACAGGTAAGTGATGAAAAAGCGCACCGCTGTTTTAGAGACACAAAGTGTTGTATTTTGTGAGGACACCCAAAGTACCACTTGTGTAGACCCACAGCAGGAAGGAGTGAACGGAAAAGTAGCTGAGACAGGTTTCAATCAGCTCAAGAAGTTTGTTTTGCCAAAGTTAAGGATGTACCCGTCACACGGCCTCAAGAGGTCCTGACAACATGTGCCCAGGGTGGGCAGGGCACAGCTTGATTTTAAACATTTTAGGAAGAAAAGAGACATCAATCAATATGTGTAAGCTGTACACTAGTTAGGTCCAGAAAGGCGGGACAACACGAAGCCTGGGAACTTTCACATCACAGATAGATAAGGGACAAACGGTTGCACTCTTCTGAGTCTCTGATCAGCCTTTCAGTGAATATGCAGTTCACAAGTGAGAGAAGGTAGAGGAAGAGTCACTTGTGCCTTGGTCTGGCTCAGTGAATCTGTATTTTTCCATGAATACAGGGCAGAGGAAGTCATCAGACACACATTGGTCTCAGGTGAGCAGAGGGATGACTGAGTTCTGTCCCTGTTTGGCACCTGTGAGGATAAGCTGTCAACTCACATTGCCAGGATGAAATTCCACACAACTGTTTTAGGGTAAAGCTCTTGAGGCATGGCTGGGCACAGTGGCTCACACCTGTGATCCCAGCACTTTGGGAGGCCGAGGTGGCTGGATCACTTAAGGTCAGGAGTTCAAGACCAGCCTGGCCAACATGGTGAAACCCTGTCTCTACTAAAAATACAAAAATTAGCTGGGTGCAGTGGCTCATGCCTATAATCCCAGCTACTTGGGAGGCTGATGTAGGAGAATCACTTGAGCCAGGGAGGCGGAGGTTGCAGTGAGCTGAGATCATGCCATTGCACTCTAGCCTGGGTGACAGAGCAAGACACTTAAAAAAAAAAAAAAAAAAAAGATCTTGAGACCCACAAGGATTCCCTGTGAGCAAATGGTGAGGGAGCTGTGCAGCTTTTTATGTTTGTAGCCGTCTTATTTAGGAATAAAATGGGAGGCAGTTTTGCCTGAAGCAGTCCCCAGCTTGACTTTTCCTCTTGGCTTAGTGATTCTGGGGTCCCAGCATTTATTCTCCTTTCACAGAAGTGACGAATACCACAGGGTGAAGGCGGTCTCTTTCTCTCTGAATCATTTCTGTTTTTACTGAACGTCTTGCTGCACCACTTGCTGATTTCGGCGTTGTCTGTCCTTTTGTGTAAAGCATGGCGGTGTACTGAACAGAGGCTGAAGCTGTTCTGAGACACACAGGGAGTCACAGTCATCCTTGCAAAGGGCTGCTGGCGTTTCCAGCGAGGCCGAGGGCCTTGCGGTGTGAGATGGAGGGTAGGCCGCAGTGAGGCCACAAGCAGCAGGAAGGGACCCCAGGAGCTTCTGGCCTCAGTGGCAGCAGAGCTGCCCCAGGCTCGGAGCAAAGGGTACAAGTCAGGGGCATCTACGCAGAGACCCTCAGAGCCACCGGACTTTCTGACCTCCAGTATTGAAGCAAGGCCACTAAAACCCCGTGGAATCATCCATTGCATTTTTGCTGAAGCGGGAATTTGAACCTTTTATACCAAGAAGCTGCAGCCAGGGAAGGAGGCTGTCAGCAGGGGACACAGCCTGGCTGACTTTCAGCTTCCACACCGCATCGGTGCGTGGCTGCCGGTCTCCAATTATTGTCACAAGTGCATTTTACGAGAAAAGTTGTGTGATAAAATTATATGAGGATTGAGGGCATTGTCAGGACACTTTTAAACGTGCCTGCAATTCGTATATTTTGCTCAAATTCAACCCACGTATTCTAAAATTTATTAGGAATTCTCTTACCAACTTATAAGAAGCCCCAACCTAGAAACGGCCACCAGCATTCAGGCTGGATTCCTAGATGAGAGCAGAGCTCTGAGTGACTGACCATCTGGCTGTTAGGAAGACCCCAAGAAAAAAGTGAAGGAGATGCAGGTAGTGACTTAGAAAACAGAAACATAACCCTGGAGAGTGGAGAACTAAGTTCTTTGAAGTCTAGAAAGAAACAAATCTTTTTTTTTTTTTTAAGTTCTGGGATACATGTGCAGAACGTGCAGGTTTGTTACATAGGTATACATGTGCTACGGTGGTTTGCTGCATCTATCACCCTGTCATCTAGGTCTTATGCCCCACACGCATTAGGTATTGAGAAACAATTTTTTTTTTCTTGAGATGGAGTATCGCTCTGTCGCCAGGCCGAGTGCAGTGGCACGATTCTGGCTCACTGCAAGCTCTGCCTCCCGGGTTCAAGCGATTCTCCTGCCTCAGCCTCCCAAGTAGTTGGGATTACAGGTGCCCACCACCACGCCGGGCTAATTTTTGTATTTTTAGTAGAGGCGGGGTTTCACCATGTTGGCCAGGATGGTCTCAAACTCTTGACCTCATGATCCGCCCACCTCGGCCTCCCAAAGGGCTGGGATTACAGGCATGAGCCACCATGACTGGCCGAGAAACAAATCTTTTAAGAACCAAAACCTAACAGCTGATGAATTGTGGGCCCCTGGCACCAGCTAGACAGTGTTTCACAGAGTCAGCCGTGCCACAGAGGGTGGGACCAGGCCCTATTCTGTGGCACCACATAAAAGCTCAAGAAGTGTTTCCTGTGGGATGAGGAAGTGTGGGGGATGAGGGAGAGAGTTAGGGAGGGAGGGGGAGAGTCTTTACAAACATATGTATAATATTTAAGAGAGCCTAGAAAAATGGACAACCTGATAAAAACAGACTAGATAATTCCCATCCTGAGCCCCTGTGCACTGGTTAGTATTCAATAAATGTCTTCAATGATACATATTTTTTAAATTACAACACTTTAACAAAACACTTTTCAAAGTTAGCAATGTGGCTGCCTTGTGTTGCCATGAATTTTACTGCCATGCACTAGCATTGTGACTTCATGTGCAGCCTTAGTTAGCCTCCCCCAACTTTGATTTTGTCACCTTAAAGAAAATATTAGGAAGTAATGCTTCCCTGTCTCATTGGGCAAGGTTGCTTCAGGGCTGTAATGATGTACGGGAAAGTGCTTTGTAAATGATCAAGCCACGGGCAAGTACAATTCGCATTGCTAAAGTCCATAGCATATGTGTTGAGCCCCCAAAACCTTACAACAGCTAGCACAATAATATGCACATTTTAAACATTCAATTAATAGTCCTGGATAGGATTTTTATTTAATCAAATTAAAGGTCATGTGGCGGCCTCAATAATAGACTGGTCGAATCTGTGAGCAACATGCAAAGCCTTTTCAAATCTGCAATTCACAGTGGGGAAATCTTTAGTCATATTTTATAAAGTAAAATTTCTCATCTATGATATATATTGAATTAGTCATCTTTGGGAATGTATATGTGCATAAGGTACATATTATATTTTGAGAATAAAATTCAAGCCTCCTAATTTTAACCTCAGCGTCAACTTTAAAAAAGGAAAGGCCAGGTAAGGCACAGCCACTATTTGCATGTAAATGCCTGCCCTGTTTGAGTTCTTCATTAGTCAAAACAAGGTCATGTAAAGGTCTTCATGGTGGGCTCACACTGTGAAGACTTGGTGGTTTAGGATCTTCACTGAGATTTGCTGCCAACTGCAACAGCAACCACAGCACCTGATATGGTTTGGCTGTGTGTCCCCACCCAAATCTCATCTCAAATTGTAATCCTTGTATAATCAGGGGAGGGACCTGGTGGGAAGTGATGGGATCATGGGAGCTGATTTTTTTTCATGCTGTTCTGGTGATAGTGAGAGTGTACTCACAAGATCTGATGCTTTAAAAGTGGCAGTTTCCCCTGATCTCTGTTTCTCTCCTGCTGCCACGTGAGATGTACCACGTTTCCCCTTCGCCTTTCGCCATAAGTTTCCTGAGGCCCCCCAGCCATGCAGAACTGAGTCAATTAAACCTTTTTTCTTTACAAATTAACCAGATTCAAGTAGTTCTTTGTAGCAGTGTGAAAATGGACTAATACATAAAATTGATACCAGCAGTGGAACACTGCTATAAAGATAACTGAAAATGTGGAAGCAACTTTGGAACTGGGTAACAGACAGAGGTTGGAACAGTTTGGAGGGCTCAGAAGAATACAGGAAAATGTGGGAAATTTGGAACTTTCTAGAGACTTGTTGAATGGTTTTGGCCAAAATGGTGATAGTGATATGGACAATGAAGTCCAGGCTGAGGTGGTCTCAGATGGAGATGAGGAACTTGTTAGGAACTGGAATAAAGGTGACTCTTGCTATCTTTTAGCAAAGGGACTGGATGCATTTTACCCCTACCCTAGAGATCTGTGGAACTTTAAACTTGGGAGAGATGATTTAAGGTATCTGGCAAAAGAAATGTCTAAGAAGCAAAGCATTTGAGATTTGACCTGGCAGTTTCTAAAAGCATATAGTCATATACATTCGCAAAGAGAAGATCTAAAATTGGAACTTATGTTTAAAAGGGAAGCAGAGCATAAAAGTTTGGAAATTTTGCAGCCTACCATGTGGTACAAAAGGAAAACCCATTTTTTTCTCTGGGAAAAAAAAAAAAAAACTCAAGCTGGCTGCAGAAATTTCCATAAGTAATGGAAAGCCAAATGTTAATAGCCAAGATAATGGGGATAGTGTCTCCAGGGCATTTCAGAGATTTTCACAGCAACCCCTCCTATCACAGGCCCAAAGGCCTAGAAAAAAAATGGTTTTGTGAGCTGAGCCTAGGGCCCTGCTGCTCTGTGCAGCTTCAGGACATGGTGTCCTGCATCCCAGTCACTCCAGTTCCAGCCATGGCTAAAAGACAGCAAGGTACAGCTGAGGCCATTGCTTCAGAGGGTGCAAGCCCCAAGTATTGGTGGCTTCCACATAGTATTGGGCCTGCAGGTGTGCAAAAGACAAGAGTTGAGGTTTGGGAACCTCTGCATAGAATTTAAAGGATGTATGGAAATGTCTGGATGTCCAGGCAGAAGTCTGCTGCAGGGGCAGAGCCCTCATGGAGAACCTTTACTAGGGAAATGCAGAAGGGAGATGTAGGGTTGGAGCCCCACACATAGTCCCCACTGGGGCACTGCCTAGTGGAGCTGTGAGAAAAGGGTCACCATCCTCCAGACCCCAGAATGGTAGATCCACCAACAGCTTGCACTGTGCACCTGGAAAAGCTTAAGGCACTCAACACCAGCCGTGAAAGCAACCATAGGGACTGAACCCTGCAGAGCCACAGAGGCAGAGCTGCCCAAGGCCATAGGAGCCCACCCCTTGCATCAGCATGCCCTGGATGTGAGACATGGAGTCAAAAGAGATTATTTCAGAGCTTTAAATTTAATGGCTGCCCTGCTGGTTTCTGGACTTGCATGGGGCCTGTAGCCCCTTTGTTTTGGACAATTTCTCCCACTTAGAATAGGAATGCATGTACCCCCACTGTCATTTGGAAGTAACTAACTTACTTTTTATTTTACAGGCTAATAGGTGGAAGGGATTTGCCTTGTCTCAGATAAGACTTTGGCCTTGGACTTTTGAGTTAATGCTGGAATGAGTTAAGACTTTGGGGGACTATTGGGAAGGCATGATTGGTATTGAAATATGGGAAGGCATGATTGGTATTGAAATATGAGAAGGACATGAGATTTGGGAGGACCCAGGGACAAAATGAAATGGTTTGGTCTTGTGTCCCCACCCAAATCTCATTTTGAATTGTAATCCCTACATGTCAGGGGAGGGACCTGGTGGGAGGTGATTGGACTATAAAGGCAGTTTCCCTCATGCTGTTCTCATGATAGTGAGGGGGTTCTCATGAGATCTGATGGTTTAAAAGTATGGCACTTCCTCCTTTGCATTCTCTCTCTCTCTCTGTCTCTCTCTCTCTCCCTCCCTCTCTCTCTCTCTCCTGCCACCATGTAACATGTGCCTTGCTTCCCCTTTGCCTTCTGCCAGGATTGTAAGTTTCCTGAGGCCTCTCCAGCCTTGCAGAACTGTGAGTCAATTAAACAACTTTTCTATATAAATTACACAGCCTCAGGCAGCAGCCCCAGTCAGGGACTTATAGATAAAACTCCCATCTCCCTGGGATAGAGCACCTGGGGGAAGTGGCGGCTGTGGAGGCAGCTTCAGCAGACTTAAACCTCCCTGCCTGATGGCTCTGAAGAGAGGAGTGGACCTCCCAGCACAGCGTTCAAGCTCTAAGGGTCAGACTGCCTCCTCAAGTGGGTCCCTGACCCCCATGTATCTTGACTGGGAGACACCTCCCAGTAGGGGCCAACAGACACCTCACACAGGAAAGCTCTGGCTGGCATCTGGTGGGTGCCCCTCTGGGATGAAGCTTTCAGAGGAAAGAACAGGCAGCAATCTTTGCTGTTCTGCAGCCTCCGCTGGTGATACCCAGGCAAACAGGGTCTGGAGTGGACCTCCAGCAAACCTGCAGCAGAGGGGCCTGACTGTTAGAAGGAAAACTAACAGAAAGGAATAGCACATCCACTCAGAGACCCCATCCGAAGGTCACCAACATCAAAGACTAAAGGTAGATAAATCCACGAAGATGGGGAGAAACCAGTGCTAAAAGGCTGAAAATTCCAAAAACCAGAACACCTGATCTCCTTCAAAGGATCACAACTCCTCCCCAGCAAGGGAACAAAACTGGATGGAGAATGAGTTTGATGAACTGGCAGAAGTAGGCTTCAGAAAGTGGGAAATAACAAACTCCTCCGAGCTAAAGGAGCATGTTCTAACCCAAAGTAAGGAAGCTAAGAACCCTGAAAAAAGGTTAGACGAATTGCTAACTAGAATAACCAGTTTAGAGAAGAAACTAAATGACCTGATGGAGCTGAAAAACACAGCACGAGAACTTCATGAGGCATACACAAGTATAAATTACACAGTCTCAGATTCTTTTGCACAGTAGTGCAAAAGCAGACTAATACAACGCCTTTCCAAGCCCTTCCAAGCCTCGGTCTTGCATCAGAATTAAGCCCAGCCTCATCAGTGGGACATTGAAATCTTCCATTACTTTAATTCTTGCCACGTTGTCCCCAGAAGCCCTGACACCACCCTTCCGGGCTTTGTGTAATAGACTGATTGACTGATGGGTTGATCGATTCAGTTAGAACCGGAGACCCCACAAGGAAAGCACCAATCCCCAAGCACACTCATGTGTCACAGTTTAAAGGTTGACAGAAAAATGGACCCAAATATAATTTTCAAGAGCTTTCACCCTTGAAAGCAAACAGCCTATAAAAGCAGGTTTATTTTGCCAACCCCAGTAACTGACACTGCATCAGCAGTTCATCAGGGGAAGAGGCTATTTTCTTGTGACCTTGTTCAAGACCCTGTTAAATTGGTGGCAAGTACACAGATAATAAAGCATAGGGGTTTACAACTGTCCTGACTGCTCCTGCTGGGACAATGTTGTTTCCTTCAAGTCATCGCCCTCTCAGTGACTGTGACGGGAAACAATCCAAACCCAGGATCCAGATCCAGGAGAAGGGAGAAAAGTCAGCGCAACCAACCGAGCCTTGTCCCCACTTCCAGCCCTTCAGTTTTCCCAACACCTTTTCCTAATCACATGACTTCCTCATGTAATGTCTTCACTGGACCCTTCCTGTGGCACTCACAAGCCCCACAACCTGGTCACCATCTGACTTCCAGCCCCTCCTGTGACAGAGACACCCTAAGCTTCTGTGGGCCTGGCCTCAGGCCTGTGCCCTACGCTGTCCTTCGGTCATGCCACTTGCCTGCCTAGAATCTCTCCCTCCTTTTCCTTCGCCTCCTGAAATTGTGTATAAACCAGGGATGTGTTGGACGTTGCTTTTGATCCTCAGCATCCTTCACCCTGCACTGGAAATAACATTTCCCAGACCCCTTGCCAGCCAGATCCCAATTTGATACCTCCAACGAGAAACTTGTGCAGGACTTGGCAGGCAGGATAAAAAGAGGATGCCATTATTCTCAGTGGCTTGGAACTTGCAAGATAAACAATCACAGGCTCTCAGTTCACCTGCTGGTGCTGTATTGACAGCATTCATTGGCATCTTCAACATCTCTGGGTGTCCTCCCAAGACTCTCCCACTTTGATGCTATTAAAGGTATGATTTCCAGCAATCTCTACACTTCCAGATTTCCCGAAAATAACCTCCCTTGTCTTCACTTCCTCAGCTTTCCAGTGGTTGTTTAATCTCACAGTTCTCAATATCGAGTCTCTTCCTACTTTATAAATCAAAGTTGCTTCTCTCTTCTGGCTGATCCTAACGGAGAAAGTGGAGAAATTTGAACATTTTTAACAGCTAGTTTTAGAAATGCTTTTAGGAAGAAGATCTATTTGCTGGGAGGACCTCTTGAAAAGTACTTAGAGTAGAAGATGAGATATCCAGGGTCAGATGTGTAGATGGAATCTTTTCTCTAGAGAGTCAGGAGGTGATGGAAGAGGAGACAGGCTGGAGCCAGAAGATGATACTACCTCCCCAGAACCTTCAAATCTTCAGTGAACTAGAGCTTAAGAACAGCATACCACAAATATATTTCTTGTAGACAGTAATTTTAGAAGTACCTCTGTACACAGGAGGCCCAATGGAGCTGGGAGAGCCTGAGCCTGGGAAATCAGCAAGAATCCCGGAGGAGGATGTTCTGCCCAACTCCCCCGCTTAAGTGCCAGGGTCCTGCTGCTGTGCCAAGTTCCTGGGGGCTCACGGCCCACCTGCCCACAAGTTCCCATTCTCTTCCCTCAAGGAGCTCTGCATGACCTTGGGCCCTGCCTGTTGTCCAGCCTACTCTGATCAATTATTCCTGGGTAAATGCTGCCAACAATGTGTGCCTTCTTCCACAAGCATTCTGGAAATGATAACTTAACCCAAGAAGAGTCAATTTGATGGAGACATTTCAGGTACAGCTTCAGGTAATGAGAGATAGTTGGGACTTTCTGGTATCCATAAGGCCAAGTTACGGACAACTCTTAAGCATGGAGAAATTATTATAAACTGTAGAGAGAGAAAGCATTAACAATAAAAGCAACTGATTGAAACACTAGGGGACATCAATGAACAACGCAGTATATGCTCATTCCAACACTACGCACCCCACATGACCCCACAGACATATTTACCCAGATCCAGAGGCTCTGCTTGGAGAGTGTGCACATGGATGAAAACTCCTTTCCCTAGAAGGACACTTCTTGCCGTGAGTTGCCATGCGGGTTATTTCCTCTGGAGAAATCCGTTCTGAATTTGGTGGTAACTGACTTCACCTTGCTAGAACCAGGGCACTTCTGACTTCACAGAATCCCTGCCAACACTACTAAATGCAGATAGGTAGATATAGGTAACCCACATGTCTCTGGGGCACCTTTTTCCCCAGACTATGTGCTATGGAAGATTTGTTATGAGACGAGAAGAGTTGACAAATTTAAATAAGTTTGGAAAATGCTCCCTATCTCACCGTCATTTCACAGATTTACAAGGTACATTAGCAAAATACAGACTAGAATCAAGCAATAAAGAAACGCTTTTAATTGCCAATTGTCTAATGCTCTCTAATATTTTCTAAGCAACAAATCCTTTCTCAAAGTGTCCTGTGAAACAGGGATTCCAAGGATCCCTCTTTTGGAAACTACTCCGGAGCAAGTATGGTCTAGGTTTTATGAACCCCTGTGCCTGTTTACCTGCCCCCAACATTTGGCAAATATTCCTCTAGAAGAGGAGAGGCTACTCTGCAAGTTGTAAAATATATGTCTCATCTCCACAAGCTGCAAGCAGCTTCTCCCATCCCTCCAGACCAGAAGTTTGCTTAGACTAGGCATTTTGGAGGCAGGACATCTATTTGCCCTCTTGTCTCCAGAGAAGTTGACCTCTTCCTTTAGACTGTCAAGAAACTGGCCAACAGCCCACAAGATTCAGGGACAAAGGTGAGGCTTTATTTATTATGGAGGAGCTGAGTAGCCTTCTACGTGTTTTTACTTACAAATATTAATTCTTGGCCGGGCACGGTGGCTCATGCCTGTAATCCCATCACTTTGAGAGGCCAAGGTGGCTGGATCATTTGAGGTCAGGAGTTCAAGACAAGCTTGACCAACATGGTGAAACCTGGTCTCAACTAAAATACAAAAATTAGCTGAGCATGATGGTGGGTGCCTGTAATCTCAGCTACTCAGGAGGCAGAGGCAGGAGAATCACTTGAACCTAGGAGGCAGAGGTTGCAGTGAGCCAAGATCACGTCACTGCACTCCAGCCTGGGCGACAGAGTGAGACTCCCTCTCAAAAAAAATAAAAATAAACAAATATCAATTCCTTTATTTATTTTAATTTCTTTTTATTCTAATATAGTAGAGATAGAGTCTTGCTATGTTGCCGAGGCTGGCCTTAAACTCCTGGCCTCAAGCAACCATCCAGCCTTGTCTTCCCAAAGTGCTGGGATTACAGGCATGAGCCACCAAGCCCAGCCTAGTAATCCTTTTAATCCTCATGGAAACCCTATATGGTTGTTAGTCAGTTCAGGCTGCTATAACAAATTAGCGCAGACATAGACTGGGTGTCTCATGAAGAATAGAAATTTATTTTGGCTGGATTCAGTGGCTCATGCCTGTAATCCCAGCACCCTGGGAGGTCAAGGCAGAAGGATTGATTCAGCCCAGGAGTTCAGGACCAGCCTGGGCAACATAGTGAGACCCCATCTCTACACAAAATTTAAAAATTAGCCAGGTATGGTGGTGCATGTCTGTACTTCCAGCTACTTGGGAGGCAGAGGTGGGAGAATCACTTGAGCCCAGGAGGTTGAGGCTGCAGTGAGCCGTGATCACGCCACTGCACTGCAGCATGGGTGACAGAGCAAGACCCTGTCTCAAAAAAAAAGTACAAATTTATTTCTCACAGTTCTAAAGGATGGAATTCCAAACTCAGGCCACCAGCATGGTCAGTTCTGGTGATGACCAGAACCTCCTCTGGATTACAGGTGGCCAACTTCTCCTTGTAACCTCACATGATGGAAGGGATATGGGAGCTCTCTGACCCTCTTTTAGTTTTACTTATTTATCTATTTATTTTATAGAGATGAGGGTCTCACTATGTTGCCTCAAGAAATCCTCTGGCCTTATCCTCCCAAAGTGCTGGGATTGCAGGTGTGACCCACTGTGCCCAGCCTGAGGTCCCTTATGTAAGGGCACTAATCCCATTAATGAAAGTGCCTCCCTCATGACCCAAGGGCCTCCCAAAGGCCCTGCCTCCTAACACCATCACTCTGGAGGTTAGGATTCTCACACACAAATTTTGGGGAGACACCAACATTCAGGCCATAACAAACGTCTATTCCATTATCTTCATTTTGCATATTAAGAACCTAAGGCCCAGAGAGGCAAGTAACTTGCCCAAAGTCACACACCAAGGGGCAGGGCTGGGATTCGCCCTCAGAAGAGCTAGCTTCTAAGCCTGTTCCTTCTAACCAGGAAGCTTCTTCTAACAGCTGCTCCTTGGACAGCCTTGGTTGGCTTCAGTTAATCACCCTTTTGCCCCAGGTTAATTGAGGTGTAATTTACATACAATATCATTCACCCATCTTATGTGTTCAGTTGTACTGTTTTGGCAAATATGTAGTCATGTAACCACCATGACAATCAAGATTAAAAACATTTCCATCTCCCCAAAAGCTCCTCCATGCTCCTTCACTGTCAGCTCCCTCTCTCCTGACCCCCCAGAGCAAGGCAACCACTGATTGTCTATGGCTATCGTTTCCTCTGTCCGATGAATGGAATCACGGTACTTTTAGTGTCAGGCTTCTTTCACCTGCTCTAACACTCCTGAGATTTATCCCTGTTGCCATGTGGCCAATGGTGCACTCTTTTTCATTGCTAGATAGTAGTCCATTGGATGGCTACACTAAGATCTGTTTACATGTTCTATTGTTGGTAAACATTTGGGTTGTTCCCAGTTTGAGCTATTATAAATACACCTACTGTGAACATTCACTTACAAGTCTGTGTGGATGTATGTTTTCATATAGGATGGCAGGATCATGTGATAAGTATTTTTTTTTGAGACACAGTCTTGCACTGTCACCCAGGCTGGAGTACAATGGCACGATCTCGGCTCACTGCAACCTCCACCTCCCGGATTCAAAGGATTCTCCTGCCTCAGCCTCCCGAGTATCTGGGATTACAGGTGCCCGCCACCACACCCAGCTAATTTTTGTATTTTTAGTAGAGATGGGGTTTCACCATGTTGGCCAGGCTGGTCTCAAACTCCTGACCTTGTGATCTGCCCACCTCAGCCTCCCAAAGTGCCCGGCCCATGATAAGTATTTTTTAACTGTAAAAGAAACTGCCAGATTGTTTTCCAAAGTGGCTGCACCATTTTCCATTCCCACCATCAATACATGAGAGTTCTGCTGTTCCATGCCTTCACCAAAGCCTAAGTATTGTCTGTCTTAAATCTTGCCATTCTAGGTAGTGTAAGGCATAGATCAATGTGTTTTTAATTTGCATTCTCTGATGACCAGTAATGCTGAACAGCTTTTCATGTGCTTGTTGACGATTCCTGTGTCTTCTTTAGTATAGAGTCCATAAAAAAAACCTTTTGTTCATTTTATTTGGCTGACTTTTATTATTGGGTTGTAGAGTTTTTTATATATTCTGCACTAAAGCAAAAAAATAGGTTTTTAAAAAAATATCTTCTGTACACATATTCTCTCAGCCTTTGATTTACCTTTTCATTTTCTTCGCTGCACCTTTCTATGCAGCAGGCTATATGAATTTTTTCCACTTTTCAGTTAATATTTTTTGTGGTTGTTCTCTTTGGCACAATGTCCAATCCAGTGTAACAATATTTTTTTCCTGCTTTCTTCTAGAGGTCGTATAGTTTTGACTCCTATAACTAGGCCTCACTCAACCACTCTTGGCTATCTTCAGCCACTCATATATGAACACAAACATGTACATCCTGAGATCTGACTGTTACGGAGAAAAGATTTAGGAATAACTTATTCACATATCATACTTGCCCTGATCACAAAGGCCCACTGACCACAGCTACTGATGCACAGATCTGCAGTATATTCTGCCGAGGACATAATTTTCTTCCGCTTTTGAGTATCTCTTCCATCTGGATGGATGGATGGATGGATAGATAGATAGATAGATAGATAATGTAAATCACAAAGCATCTGGCATCTGAAGCAGGTCCCAATCAGTCTAGAGGTTTATTTTGCAAGGTTGAGAACATGCCCAGGAAAAACAGACACAAGTCACATGGGATCTGTGGCCTGTGCTTTTTCCAAAGAGGATTTTGAGCACCTAATTATTTAAAGGGGAAAGAATGAGCAGGAGGGGCAAGAGGAACAGTCAATTATGCATTCATCTTACACTCAGTAAATCTGCATCTTACAAAAAACTGAAGCTGGACCCCTTCCTTATACCTTATACAAAAATTAACTCAAAATGAATTAAAGACTTAAATGTAAAACCCAAAACTATAAAAACCCTAGAAGAAAAGCTAGACAATACCATTCAGGACATAGGCATGGGCAAAAATTTTATGATAAAATCACCAAAAGCAATTGCAACAAAAGCAAAAACTAATAAATAGGACCTAATTAAACTAAAGAGCTTCTGCACAGCAAAAGAAACCATCATCAGGGCAAACAGGCAACCTACAGAATGGGAGAAAATTTTTGCAATCTACCCATCTGACAAAGGTCTAATATCCAGAATTTACAAGGAACTTACATAGATTTACAAGAAAAAAACAAACAACTCCATCACAAGTGGGCAAAGTACATGAACAGAACACATCTCAAAAGACGACATTTATGTGGCCAACAAACATATGAAATAAAGCTCGACATTACTGATCATTAGAGAAATGCAAATCAAAACTACAATGAGATACCATCTCATGCCAGTCAGAATGGTGATTATTAAAAAGTCAAGAAACAACAGATGCTGGTGAGGCTGTTGAGAAATAGGAATACTTTTACACTGTTGGTGGGACTGTAAATTATTCAACCATTGTGGAAGACAGTGTGGCGATTCCTCAAGGATCTAGAACCAGAAATACCATTTGACCCAGCAATCCCACTACGGGGCATCTACCCAAAGGGAAAGAAATCATTAAATAAAAAAGACACATGCACTTGTTTGTTCACTGCAGCACTATTTACAATAGCAAAGACATGGGATCAACCCAGATGCCCATCAGTCATAGACTGGATAAAGAAAATGTGGTACATACACACCATGGGATACTATGCAGCCATAAAAAGAATGAGATCATGTCCTTTGCAGGGACATGGATGACACTGGAAGCCATTATCCTCAGCAAACTAACACAGGAACAGAAAACCAAACACCACATGTTCTCACGCATAAGTGGGAGCTGAACAATGAGAACACATGGACACAGGGAGGGGAACAACACACACTGGGGCCTGTCAGGGGTCAGGGGGAGGGAGAACATCAGGATAAACAGCTAATGCATGCTGGACTTAATACCTAGGTGATGGGTTGATGGATGCAGCAAACCACCATAGCACACATCTACCTATGAAACCTGCACATTCTGCACATGCATCCCAGAACTTAAAATAAAAAAATTTTTAATCTGCATTTTACATACAATAAAGTTAACATCAAGTAGAGGAAGAAATTAAATATACATTTGTCTCAGGGTAGGTGGAGGGATAATTTCTAGCCTTGTCTTTGTCCCGTACCTATGAAGATAAGCTGTTAATTTACATGTTAGGGGGAAGGAGGCCACCTGGGGAGATATGTGGCCTTCTATCTTTGCAGCTATCTGTTGAGGAACAAACGGAAGGCAGTTTTTTGCATGACTCAGTTCCCAAGCTTAACTTTTCCCTTTGGCATAGTGAGTTTGGGGTCCTGAGATTTTATTTTCCTTTCCCAAATAGATGGTGGATAAATAGATAAATAGATGATGGATGGATAGATTAGATAGATGATAGAAATGATAAATAAATAGGATACATTTAAATATCTCTTTTTTCACAAAAGCCCTCCTGACTTCCGTTCCTCTTATCCCAGGGCAATGGCACAAGTTAATGGGTTCTTAGTATTCTTTGAAGGAAAGACCTTAAGAAATAGGATAGCACCAATTACACCACCATTGATGGATAGCGAGAGGGTGCTGGGTTTATTATTTACCTTCTACAAGCAACAATAGCATTTTATAAAATTGTTATTTGTGATTTGAGAAAAATTCTAAATTTAGAAGATTGATTTATACAAAAATTACTATTGCCATTTTGGTCATGTCTTTTATCTTCTTAGTGGTTTCAAACACTAGTAGAAAACTAAAAAATATATATGATTACATGAAGCACAATTCCTTTTTATTAATTTGCCTAAACATTTTTTTTAACACGAAATGTGGAAGATCTTCTCTTTGCTCCCCTTTCAGTCTAGCATGAACACCAAAGCATGGACAGCCCTGAAGATGGTCTCTTTAGGGGATCCATGAACACCTTGAAGGCTGCAGTGAAAGTTTACGTTAAGACCAAGTCATTAGCAAGTGAATTGTTGGGAATAAACGCTCAAAATCCTAAGGAGATTGAACATTCAAACAAAGAATTCTTAGCAAAGCAATTTTACTTCCGTGCAGAGGGGTGCCTCCTTGGCCAGTCACCATGAGAGCACACCCGAACAAAGAGGCATGAGAGCCTTTATTCCTGATGCAAGTCCTGCCCCGCACCCTTTCCCCATTGGCCGGGGTCGGGTCGAACAATCTGAACTAATCCTGGTTGGCTAGATATTTGAACTTTCTTTAGATAAGGTGAGCACGTAAGGGAGAGAGGGGGAAAAAAAAGAGGAAGGGGTGTCTGCAATGAGCTAGAGAGCTAGTCTCCTTTCCAAATAAGGAAAGGAATGGGAGCTGGTACTGATAAGCCTGTACTGTGGCATGTCCGGGCATGTAACAAAGGCAGAAAAGAGAAAAAGGAAAAAGGGGTGGGGGGGGGCAGGGTACTACCAATTAAAGAAGAAAGGACTGATCAGGCTGTGTGAAGGGAAACCTCATCATATTCCACAGCTTGATCTCACTCACACCAGAAGATACTATTAAAGTTGTGCCAAAAGCCTTGAGATTTAAGAAGTCTGCAGAAGGGAGGCCTGAAAATACTGGTCTCCTTTACAGTTGTAAAATTATAACCCAGGTAACAAACCTGCACACGTACCCCCTGAATCTAACATCAAAGCCAAAATGATTTAAATAAATAAATAAAACTGTAAAAATAAAGAATTTACAGTTGCTAGGGTGTAACTACAGTTTTATCCTCCCCAACAAGAGGAAGAATTCCAGGACCCAAGGAGTTAGATGGTACAAAAGGCAACCAGTCAACAAGACACCTTAGCAGTACCAGCTGACCTGTCAGGATGGTCCGTGTTGTCTCCAGGAGGCACCAATAATGAAATCACAGCCCACCCCAACCCCAAGTGAGATGCTTTCTTGCTTTGATCTCAGGACAGAGAGCAGGACAAGTACCCTAAGGTCTTCCAAGGTACATACCCTGCATTTCTTCCATTTGTGCTGCCTCCAACTATTTAAAGTCTCTATTTAAGGTGTTGCCCATAGGCCAGCATCATCAGCATCACCTGGGAGCTTATTATAAATGCAGAAACTCAAGCCAGACTGAGTTTAGCCAAACTCAGCGCAGAAGAAAAATTGCACTGGGCAGAGGTTAAACAGGGTAGGGAGACTGTATTCAAGAGTATTGCAATCAGGGCCAAGACAAGTGCAATAGAGGAGAGAGAATAAACTCCACTCTGCTGAAACAGAAGGCAGGGGACTTTGAGTGCTGGGTGAACTAGTGGAGAAGTCTTGGAGGATGTTATGGGAGAGACTGGTCAATGTGATTAGGCATCTGTGTTTGCTAATTGGAGCTTATCAAAGTTAGGCTCCCACCCTCCCAGAGAGACTGGACAGCCACTGGAGACCTGTCTTCCTTGATGATTATATCTCAAAGAGATGGCTCCTAGGTCCTTGAGAAAGTCACTCTTGGGTTGTAAAACTGGCAAGAGGCTGGAAGAAGATTTACATCTCAAAGAATTTACAATTCCAAGTTTCCTAAAGTAAATGTTCTAAAGAAAGGGAGGTCAGGGACCTATAGGAGGAAAAAACCTGTCTAAAGGTCAGTCCAGCTGAGGGAACATGAAGGCTGCTGTGGTTACGGCTACAGACATACTGAATCAAACTCTGTGGAGACAGGGCCCAGGAATCTGTGTTTTGGCAAGCTATCTGATTGTTTCAAAGGGTGCCAACTTCCAATTCTTAAATACAATAACCAGAGTAACTAGGAACATGGTATATTAATTTGCTAAGCTTAACAAATGTCATTCTTTGTTTCCAGCCTTATTGAGGGGTGATTGACAAAAATAATTGAATATATTCATAGTGCACTTCATGGTGATTTAAGTATACCTTGTGTAATGATTCTTGCAATCAAGCTAATTAACACATCCATTGCCTCACATAGTTACCATTTCTGTGTGTGTAATGATACCACTGGAGATCTATTCTCTTAGTAAATTTCAAATATAAGATACATTATTACTAACTATAGTCTCTTAGCAAATTTCAAATATAAGATACATTATTACTAACACCATGCTGTACATTAGATCCCCAGAATTTATTCATCTTATAACTGAAAGTTTGTACCCTTTAATCAACAACTCCCCATCTCCCCCGTCCCCAGGACCTTGACAACTGCCACTCTACTTGTTACTCAAAGTGCAACGATTTTGATTCCACATATAGGTGATGTCACACAATATTTGTCTTTGTCTGGCTTATTTCCCTTAGAATAATGTCCTTCAAGCTCATTCACATTGTCACAAATGGCAGGATTTCCCTTTTTTTAAGGCTAAATAGTGCTCTCATGTGTATATATATATATACTACAGTTTATTTATCCATTCATCCATCAATGAACACTTAGGTTGTTTCCACAATTTGGCTATTGTGAATAGTGTTGCAGTGAAAACAGGAGTACAGATATCTCCTGGACATACTGATTTCATTTCTTTTGGATATATACCTAGCAGTGGAATTGCTGAGTCATATGGCAGTTCTATTTTTAATTTTCGATGAATCTCCCTAATGTTTTCCATGATGACTGTACCAATTTACATTCCCATCAACAGTGCACGAAGGCTCCCTTTTCTCCCATCCTCACCAACATTTGTCTTTTTGGTAACAGCCATCCTAACAGGAATGAGGTGATATCTCATTGTAGTTTTGATTTGCATTTCTCTGATGACCAGTAATGCTGAGCATCTTTCATATACCTGTTGGCCATTTGTACATCTTCTTTGCAAAAATGTCTATTAATATTGATATGGTTTGGCTGTGTCCCCACCCAAATCTCAACTTGAATTGTATCTCCAAGAATTCCCATGTGTTGTGGGAGGGACCCAGGAGGAGATAACTGAATCATGGGAGCCAGTCTTTCCCATGCTAGTCTCATGATAGTGAATAAGTCTCATGAGATCTGACAGGTTTATCAGGGATTTCCACTTTTGCTTCTTCCTCATTTTTCTCTTGCCGCTGCCATATAAGAAGTGCCTTTCACCTTCTGCCATGATTCTGAGGCCTCCCCAGCCATATGAAACTGTTCAATTAAACCTCTTTTTCTTCCCAGTTTCAGGTATGTCTTTATCAGCAGCGTGAAAATGAGCTAATGCAAAGATCCTTTGCCCATTTCTTAATCACGTTGTTCAGGTTTTTTTGGAGGTGACACAAAAGCACAGACAATAAAAGCAGAAACAAACAAGTGGAACTACATCAAATTAAAAAGCTTCTGCAGAGCAAAGGAAACAATTAACAAAATAAAAAGGCAACCTATGGAATGGGGAGAAATATTTGCAAACTGTATCTCTGATAAGGAGTTAATAGCCACAACATATAAGAAACTCATACAAACTCAATAACAAATGTCATTTTGATGAACTATCTTCCCCCACAAAACTATCTTTCCCTAGTAGGCCAAGGGGAAAACCTCAGGGATGATATTTCCATATTAAGGAGATAATTCTGAAGCTGGAATTTGGAAGGGCTTGTTTTTTGTGTGTTTCATTTCATTTCAATGAGAACTCACCCAAGAAAATTTACTATCATTCAAACAGGAATTTTCCTTGGGACTCTAGACGCGCACACCTTGGTAAAGGCAATTCTTTTTCTTTAATGTTCTGTATTGCTTTTAGTACATTAAGGGTATTACTTTCCAAGTGCTACAGGGAGATGTTCTTTATAGGTTCAGTAAATCACAGGATAAGAACTAATTGAAACTTGCTTGCATACCTTTGTGGGCTAAGTCTTGCAACAGGAAAGCAATCAGCCAGCAATTAAAATGCTAATACAGGGCTCACCCCAGTTGGGTGCTCTTGCCAAAATGCGTGGGCAGCTCCAGCAGAATTCATAACAGCCAGCTTGGACTGGACTTAATTTAGAAGCCATCGATTTACCAGAGTTGCAAATAACACTGCAAGAGCACTTTGCCAATGAAAAATAACGGTGACAACAACGATAATAACAAAAGAACAGTTTGTTATGATGCAAAGCAAATTATTGTCAATGATCTGAGCCTAGTCAGCTCAGTTGTTCAGGATTTAGTACAAATAAAACCAGCATCTTGGGTTCATCCCCTAAGGCTTGCTCTCCTAGGGATCCAGCCCCTGAGCAAAGCTGCAGGTACCACATTCAAACATTCCAGACCGGAAAAGTGACAGAGGCGTGTTGAAGTGGGTCCATCTTATGGACTCTGGGGTTGAACTGACCTCAGTTCAAATACTGAATCTGCCACTTGCTAGCTCTTGGTCTTTGTCAAGTTATTGCTATGCTATCTGCCTCAGTTTCCCCATCTGTATAATGAGGATATTAACAATACCTGCCTCATAAAGTTACGGTGAGAGTCAAATGTGAGAATGTATAGCAGTTAACATAGTGCTGGTACAGAATGAGTGTTTATAAAACGAGTTCTTGTTGCCACTGTCATTATTCATCTCTCCGGACGATGCCCTTTCTCAGGTCCTCACCCTCACATGCTCTGTGCATCTGCCTTACCTGCTGCCCTTTGCCTTGTACCTCTTATTGGGTTTTCTTCCCAAAGCCCTCCATGGCTGCTTCATTGGGAATCAATATTCCCACCTCACCCCTGTTTAGGAAGACCCCTTGGCACTGTGTTTCACAGCCTGGGGCAGGATCCAGATGGTCCCACACCCAGTCTGGCCTTAGAGTCTCTGTCAAGGCCTCTGGGTTTCCAAGCAGGGAGCTTAACAGGTTCCTATCAAATTTCCCTCTTACTGAGGGCAACTTTAAGAGCAACAGATTTACATAAACTCTAGTTCAATTCAACAAAAAAATAAACAGAGTCCATCATGATGGGTGAGGCACCGTGCTGGGCAGGCTGTTGCTGCCCTTTGTAGCTCTCCACTCTGAAATCAGATGGTGCAGTAAACAGGATAATGCCCTCCACACACGTACACAAAGGTGGCCATGTCCTAACTCCCATGACCTGTCACTATGTTACCTTTTGTGACAAAGAGAGCTTTGCGGATGGGATTACATTAAGGATCTTGAGGTAGGGGGATTATCTTGGATTATTCAGATGGGAATAAAAGGGGATTTGGACCCAATTCCTTGGTACAGCTGCTTTAACCTGTGCAGTCACATTTTAAATGAGAGTTCATAAAAATTGGTTTGTGATGCAAGAGTTTTCCTGGAGAAATTCTCAAGAGCAAAAAACTGAAGAATAGAATACATCAACTGACACAAATATATGGAAACTTCCCCCTTTTTTTCTGTTGCTTACCATTGTGAGTTAAATTGTGTCCTCCAGAACGATACGTTGACATCCTAAACTTCTCCCCATCACCTATGAATGTGACCTCATTTGGAACTAGGGTTTGCAGATGTCATCAAGCTAAAATGAGAGCATACTGGATTAGGTGGGCCCTAAGCCCGCCTGACTAGTGTCCTCATAAGGAGAGAGACAATTGGAGGCAGAGACAAATACACAGGAAAGAAAACTGTGACAACAGAGGCTGAGACTGGAGTGATGCATCTACCAGCCAAGAGACAGCGAGGATTACCAGCAACACCAGATGCTAAAAGGGGCCAGAGCATGACCCTGCTGCAACCTTGAGCCCACACTGCTGGCCCCCAGAACTATAAGAGAATCAATGTCTGTTGTTTTAAGCCACGAAGCTTGCAGTATTTTGTTATAGTAAGAACCTTCCCAGCTGGAGGCTTTAGAGAATACAAGTCCCTTAAGTTGTCTTGGCTACAGCTAATTCAGGCTGAAAGCTTCAATGTCAACTTCGCCCCAGGTAGGAAGAACAGCAGCAATAACAGCTGTCAAGCGTCCAAGCCATCCTACAAGCTGAGAGGAGCCCTCCTAGGTTGCATCGTCCCACTAAGTACAGCCAGAAATTACTGCCTGATCAGCAAGTTGACCCTCTTAGTTTAAGAGAAATAACTCATAAGAAAGCAGCTGCATGATGCTGAGACCCAGGGGATGGCTTTTCTTCAATACTTTTCAGCCCTATCCCACTCTACTGCTTCTTAAGAAACTAAAATTGTCTAGATTCTTGGAGCTGAGGTTTAAGTGACACATATTTGTCACGAACTGGTAACCTCAGGCACATTTCTTAACCTCTTTCTCCTGGGTTTCTTCATCCATAAAGTGAAACCATAACAATGGCTCTTCCTACATACAGGCTTGGTTATAAAAATCAAATGGTCATGATATTTTTACACAGCCATTAATTATTTGAGTTACATTGCATCTACCCTGGAAGATCCTGAGCAGGGGGAAATAAGCACATTCAGAAACAGTGCTGGATCAATCGTGGATCTGTGCCCTAACAAAAAAAGCTCTATGTGATTTTCAGCCCAGACTTGTGATTTGATTCACCAAGAGTTTCTCCACTTTTTCTGCCTAAGCCACCCACTTTAATGTTTCCTTCCTTTGGGGATCTATAAAGCTAATACTATTTTAATCAGTATGATGGTGAGAGGTGACGGTTGGGGATATGTCGGAGTTGGCAGCAGCCAATGGAACAGGCGTTCTGCAAAACAAAGACAGGAACTATGCACCAGCACCTTCTCATCTTCCCTTCCTCCTGGGGCCCCTGTGTTTACCCCATCCTATTCCCAGACACATATCCTAACACTCTATCTACTTAAAGTAGTATATAAGTGATTGCTCTTAACTAACACCTTACTTGAAAACAAGGTATTACTCCTCCCACTCTTCTTAGCTCAAGAAAGTTTCTCTGAGGACCTAATATCCTCTGTTCTTTTTCAAATTGACATATAATAATTATACATATTTAGGGGGTAGTGTTAATACATATATGTATAGTGATCAGATCAGGGTAATGTAGCATATCCATCACTGCAAATATTTATTATGTTGGGAGCATTCAATATCCTCCTTCTAGCCATTTGAAACTATATCGTATATTATTAACTGTAGTCATCCTACAGTGGTATAGAACACTAGAAATTCCTCATATTTAGCTGTAATTTTGCATGCTTTAACAAATCTCTCCCTAACCCCCACTTCCCCCTACCCTCCCCAGCCTCTAGTGCTCTCTGTTCTACTTCTTCTTACTTCTATGAGATCCACTTGTTTTTAGCTTCCACATATGAGTGAGAACATGTGGTATTTAACTTTCTATTCCTAGCATATTTTACTTAACATAATGTCCTCCAGTTTCGTGCTTAGTGCCACAAATGATAGAATTTTGTTCTTTTTATGGCTTAGTATTTCATTGTGTATATATACCACATTTTCTTTACCCATTCATCTGTTGTTGGACACCTAGGTTCATTCCACATCTTAGCTTTTGTGAACAGCACTGCAATAAACATGGGGGTGCAGGTGTCTCTTCGATGGACTGATTTCCTTTCCTTTGGATAAATGCCCAGTAATGGGATTGTTGGAGCATACGGTAGTTCTATTTTTAGTTTTTTGAGCAATCTCCATACCGTTTTCCATAGTGGCTATACTAGTTTACATTCCCACCAACAGTGTATAAGAGTTCCCTTTTTCTCCATATCCTTGTTAGCATTTGTTATTTTGTCTTTTTTTTAATAGTTATCCTAACTTGGATAAAATGATACCTCATGATGGTTTTGATTTGCATTTTCCTGAGGATTAGTGATGTTGAACATTTTTTCATACATTTCTTGGCCATTTGTTGTCTTCTTTTGAAAAACATCTATTCAGAAAATTTGCCCATTTTTTTTTTTTTTTTTTTGCTGTTGAGACATTTGAGTTATTTCTGTATTCTCAATATTGACTCCCGTCCCCCCAGCTTTTGGATGAATAGTTTGCAAATATTTTCTCCCAATCTGTAGGTGTCTTTTATGTGCCAAATCTTTTTAGTTTAATGTAATCCCATTTTTATTTTTGTTGCCTGTGCTTTTGAGGTCTTATTCATAAAATCTTTTTCCAGACCAACATCCTGAAGCATTTTCCCTATGTTTTCTTCTAGTAGTTTTATAGTTTCAGGTCTTACATGTACATCTTCAATTCACGTTTTTTTCCCAAGAGAGAGTTCTTGGATCTCACGCAAGAAAGAATTCAAGGTGAATCCATAGAGTAAAGTGAAAGCAAGTTTATTAAGAAAGTAAAAGCAGAGCAGCCTAATTCATTTTGAGTTGATTTTTGTATAGGGTGAAAGGTAGTTTTATTTTTCTGCATATAGACTTCTGTTCTTTCACCTGGGCCTTATGAAAAACATTGTCAAGCCCCTTCTTGATAATAATCTGTTGGGTCAATTTTCCTTATACAGGGATAGGTGGGATGCAACCCTTGAGCAGGCAAGGAGACAATCATACAAAGAGAGGACTGGTAAGTAGAGAAAAGGACCAGAGGTATAAGCATTAAGGAAAAGGTAGAGAAAGAAGCCTGAGAGAAACAGGCAGCAGAGAGGTTACAGTGAGATCCAGCTAAGAGTGGTGGAACAGAATCCACAATAGAGTTTAAATCATAAATGAATAAAGTTATAAGAGATCATATTTCTAACTATCAGCGCTGCAGAGATTTAAGTGAATAAGAGAAAGACTTTAGTCTCAATTTTCTAATTAAAATCTTCCAGATGTCAGGCACAGTGGCTCACGCCTGTGATCCCAGCACTTTGGAAGGCCAAGGTGGCTGGATCACCTGAAGCCAGGAGTTCACGACCAGCCTGACTAACATGCTGAAACCCCATCTCTACTAAAAATACAAAACTTAGCCAGGCATAGTGGCAGGCACCTGTAATCCCAGCTATTTGGGAGGCTTAGGCAAGAGAATCACTTGAACCTGGGAGGCAGAGGTTGCAGTGAGCCAACATCACGCCATTGCACTCCAGCCTAGTCAACAGAGTGAGACTCTGTCTCAAAAAAAAAAAAAAAAAAAAATTCCAGAAACTACAGTCTTGATTTTAAATAAGTGCTTAATAAATGTTTGAATAAGTGAACAAAACCAATCACATATTACATACATATGACCATGGAGTAGCTCATCAAAGTATAAGAATGTCTACCATATTAATGGAGGCTCAACTCTCTGGGATCCTGTAACATTAGCAGAGCTAGAAATTGTTTTCCTATCCACCCAATCAAAAAAGCATAAATAGAAGGGTCCTGGGATGAGATGGTAAAAAGTATCTTTAGTCCTGAAAGAGTAGGGACATTCCTCATGTAATCATCAACCTCCTCAATGCATCTGTCTCCAGGAAAGTGTCTTTCAAAACTACAGACCCCTCCTCCAATACTCTGCAGTGACATGATCTTGGCTCACTGCAAACTCCGCCTCCTAGGTTCAAGTGATTCTCATACCTCAGCCTCCCAAGCTGAGATTACAGGTGCGCCACCACACCTGGCTAATTTTTGTATTTTTAGTAGAGACAGAGTTTCACCATGTTGGCCAGGCTGATCTTGAACTCCTGGCCTCAAGTGACCCACCTGCCTCGGCCTCCCAAAGTTCTGGGATTACAGGCATGAGCCACCATGCCCGACATAGGTAGAAAATACTTCTATATCAGTATAATTAACAATTTCACGTGGAAATTATAAAAATGAGGGGAAAGGAAATGTCTGGCAACAAAGAAAACACATGTGAAGCAAATTTTAAGATTAATAATTTAGAAAAGGGGAAGGCTCCTGGAGACCAGCATGTCAATGATGAATTCATGAGAGAGGGGAATCTGGAGTCTTGGTCAGGTCTTAAGGAAAGCCCCATCCCCAATCTCCCAAAGTCCTGCCCTATAGATGCTCTTCCCAGGCACCTGCTACCAAGAGAATTCCTCAGTTTGATGCATAAGGTTATCTACCCAGGCTGGGATACACTCTCCTCAGGGTGCCCGCACCACCCTCTACACCCTGCTATTTGGACTAACTCCATTTGTTGTTAATCTGCCTCTGCTACTAATGGGCAAGCATGCCAGGAGCAGGAATCCTGTGTTTTTCATGCTTGTCTCTCCAGTCTCCACCATCATGTCAGATACAGTCTCTATAGATGCTTGAGTAGAAATAAGAGAACAAATACCAGCAGCTCCTCCTGCCCCCCATGAAAATCATACCTTTGTGATTTCATTTTCGCTTTTGAAGCCAAAATGATCAACTCACTGGCTAAACAGTATCCTATCCTGTGATGCCATCTTTTCTAAATTTCATAGATTTCTGTGCTTATCAATAATTTAAGTGGCTTCTGTAGCAGTCAGGCAAATAGTGGACCATACTGGTTGAATCCAGACAGAAAAACAGAGTAGCCATCACCAGGAGACCTTAACTGAATTGTTCACGGAGCTAAACTAATAATCTCTCCTTCCACCACAATTCCCACTTCTCTACTTCCAGAAGAGAACATGGAGACACTGGTAATCCAACAAATGACCTCAGGCTAATTAAATCAATAGTCCCTGCAAATGAGGTTTTTAAATGAAAGTGTTTTAAAGACCTTTAAAAAACTGGGATTCATTCCCATTGGGGCTAACATTTGAGGATAAATGCACAAGTAGGAGAGAGGAAAGGAAGGAAACAGAATCATCTTCGGTCCTCTAAAAAGTCAATTACCATTGGAAAATGCGAAACAGAATATGTAGAGATTCTCTTCTATTCCACTGAGCATGCATAAATGCTTTCTTGATGCTTATCAACCATGCAGGAATCAACACTGAACGCAAACGAGAGTATTTGTCTTCCTATAGTAAATATGTATACACATGATTTTGTTTCTCAAAAACTATTATGTCAGGTCTATCTGGTTCTAAAGGAAATAAAAACTACTATAAAGAGCCTGCTGTATTACATCCTATTGCCACAAAAAGAAAACAAAAATAGGCTGATTGCCTTACTGACTCTGGGCCAAGGGCCAATGTCCTTGAATGTGTTTGACCTTGAGAAAATCCCTTACCCTTTCTAAGCTGCAATTTATTCATAACATGGAAATAGCAACAGTGCAGTAGACAGCTCACAAAAATATTATACATGGATTTAAAACTGTGCAACCTTAAACAAAGGTGATAAACTTTAGGGATTCCAAAAGGCGTATTTTTTTCACATCTTAACATCTCTGAAATCAGGGTGTCTTATAGTCCTGCAATCACTGTCAGCTGAGGAATGGTGCAATGGTATGAATGTACATGTTCCTCCAAAATTCATATGTTGGAACTTAACCCCAGAAGTGATTACATTAAGAGGAGGGCCTTTGAAAAGTCATTAGGCCATGAGGACTCCACTCTCAGGAATGAGATGAATGCTCTTTAAAAAGAGGCTTCAGGGAGCTGTCTGGCCCGTCCATCTCTTCTCCATGTGAGCACACAGCGTCTGCCCCTCTCTGGCCCTTCCTCCAGGTAAGCAGACAGCAAGAGGCTCCATCTATGAAAAGAGTAAGCTTTGTGAAGCAACAGAGGCCAAGTCTGCTGGTGCCTTGATCATGGACCTCCCAGGCTGCAGAACTATGAGAAATAAATTTCTCTTCTGTATAAATTATCCAGACTAAGGTGTTCTGCTATAGGAGCACAAAGGGACTGAGACAGATGGTCACACCATGGTTGTCATTGGGGTTTGTGGGTGTGTAAACCCTAACTTCACCCTGTATTCACTTCTGTTGATAGCATGCAATGTCTGTACCACGTGTTGAGTTTAATTCCTAATAAAATGAAACCACCTTTGCAAAATTATGACAGTAAGAGAAATTTGACATAGTTGACTCCATCTTGCTTCTGACCTCCAAGCTATTCTTGGTCATTCCTGCATACAGGCCAAGCTAACTTTGGGAGAAATTTAGTTTATAGTTTAATCTTAAGGCAAGGATGATAATAGCCCTCCCCAAAATGAAATCACCTTTCTGAAACTAATGAAAGGCCACAAGGTTCGGATTATAAGAGGGGCTTGAATTCTGCTAAGAGGTAGGTGTAGTTAAGAGATAACCAGCCATTGTTCTGAGGTCACAAGATTTGTAACACAATTGGTCACACAATTTGTAACTTCCCCAATTACTCCTGTAGATAACATTACTATTATAGAATCTAAGATTGGCCTTTGAGATTTTTTTTTTTCAGACTTGTGCATTCCTGAAGACTGGCTGCCTCCACCTGAACCTGAGACTCATGACAACCTGTCCTGCGGTCCCACCCAGAGGCAGACTCAGCACCCGAGGACTGTTTTCCACACCCCTGTGATTTCCTCCCCAACCAGTCATCACTCCCCATTCCCTAGACCCCTGCTCACCAAATTATCCTTGAGAAACCATACCCCAGCCTTCAGGGAGACTAATTTGAGTACTAACTCCAGTTCTCCCACATGGGCCAGCCTCACACCAATTCAACTTTCTTTACTGCAATGCCATGGTCTCAGTGAATTGATTTTGTCTGTGCAGCATGCAAGAGGAATCCACTGGGTGATTACAAAATGTCTTCAAAAAGATGACAGGTGGGAGGATGGGAGGACACAGGAACTCTGTGTACGTCCTGCTCAACTTTTCTATAAACCTAAAAATCCTCTGAAAAATAGTCTATTGACTAAAAAATTACTACCTTAAGAAAAAGTGACATGGTTCCACATTAAACAGAACGCTATTGGGTACTCAGAAAGGCGTGGAAGCAGAGCAGCCAGAAATAAATGTGATATTAGCAAAGCAAATATTCATCATCGGAGAAGGAGCAACCAACCTCAAAACATGCACCAGCAGTGAGAGAGACTTGAAAATCTAGGAGAATCAAGAGGAGCAGTCCTTCTAGAATGCATTTTTCTGTTGTTTCATTTTTTGTTTTTTTGAGACAGAGTCTCACTTTGTCCCCCAAGCTGGAGTGCAGTGGCAAGATTTCAGCTCACTGCAACCTCCACCTCCTGGGTTCAAGCAATTCTCCCATCTTAGCCTCTTGATTAGCTGAGATTACAGGTGCCCACCACCATGCCCAGCTAATTTTTGTATTTTTAGTAGAGATGGGGTTTCACCATGTTGGCCAGGCTGGTCTCGAACTCCTGACCTCAGGTGATCTTCCCACTTCAGCCTCCCAAAGTGCTGGGATTACAGGTGTGAGCCACCATGCCAAGCCTAGAATCCATCTTTACTGATGCTCTTCAGGGCATAGAGGACATTACCGTGTTTGCAGCCCTGGATATTAGTGACACGAAGTCAAAAAATGATTCTAAAGCATCAGATACTGGATGAGAAGACATCTCAGGACTATCCTAACCAATTTTACTTTTTTATTTTTCAGACCTGCACAGAGTGATAATTTTTTAAATTTGTCTAAGTAAGGCTAAAATATGTCTTTCAATAAATACAAAATTTCTAGTAAAGAATTATGTTGTTTAATTGGCACATTACTTTTTTAGTGAGACAAAAAATAAAAAGCTCCTTATAGCATAAAATGACCTGATTTCAGTGAAAGATCACACATGCAAACAGAGACACATGGAAATGAAACTCTGTCTTTATTCCAGTCACAAAATTTGGGGTAGGGATTTGTTTGTATGTGTGAAGTAGTTTGTCTTTAGTCAAAATAGTAATAGTCAGTATCATACTCCACGTAATCACTGGATTTTGGAGAAAATTCATGTTTATATAGGAAATCAGATTCTCCATTGGATGATGGAGTTGACACCACAGAGGATATTCAAAGGCTCTAAGAGGAAAAATATCTAACTTATTTCTAAGCCACGGCAATACCATTAAAGTTATTACACAACATCCCACATGGACATTTGACAGGAATAAAATTTGTTTGGATGCCTACATTTTAATCTGTCTACTTTTTAAAAAATAATCGTATGACCTCATACATATCTTAAAATGAAGAAGTATCTTAAAGGGGCCTCTTCAAACTCTCCTCTCCTTCTCCATACCATTATTAAAATCTTCTAGCAAGAGCATTGACAAAGAGGCCAAAATTCTATACCCAGGGTATTTGATGTTTGACTACTGAACAAATCCTAAAGCCAAAGAAATAAACAGTAAAAATTTTTTATTTATCATAAGTTCAGTGATAAAAATTTTCAGAAAGGCAGTTGGACATAGCTTAAAATTACATCTTAGCAGATACAGATATCTACTAAGTCTAAATCTCTGTATTAGCTTCCTATGGCTGCTATAACAAATTATCACAAACTTTTTGCTTAAAACAACACAAATTTATTATCTTATAAATCTGGAGGTCAGAAGTCTAAACTGGGTTTCACTAGGCTAAAAACCAAGGTGCCAGCAGGGCCAGGCTCTTGTTTCCAACTTCCAGAGCCATGCTCTTTGCCCCCTTTGACTCGTGGCCTCTTCCTTCATCTTCAAAGCCCAGCAGTGCAGCATCTTGCTTCAAGCATCACATGGCCTTCTTCTTCTGTAGCCAAGTCTCTCTCTGCCTCCCTCTTAAAAGGACACTTGTGATTGCAGTTAGGGCTCACCCAGATGATCCAGGCTAATCTCTCCAACTCAAGACCCATCACTTAATTACATCTGCAAATGCTCTTTTGCTATATAAGGTAACATTGACAAGTCCAGGGATTAGGACATGAATATCTTTGGGGAGCATTCTTCAGCCAACCACACTCCCCTACAAGACAATGAATGTATAAGGGGTAAGAACTGCCTTTCCAACTCCATCCACAGGACGTTGTAAGGTTACCAGTGCTCAACCAAGTTTGCCAGATGAATGCATTCACTTAACTACCCATCCTTCTACAATCACCACCTTAACTTTTGAGTTTCCATAGCTAGTCTTTGACTTTTTTTTTTTTACAAATATATATTTGCCTTATAACATATTTTGCATATGCACTTTAAAAAGCATTGGTGAGGCGGTACGTGGTGACTCAAATCTGTAATCCCAACATTTGGGGAGCCTGAGGCAGGAGGATCACTTGAACCCAGGAGTTTGGGACCAGCCTGGGCAAACTTTATAAAAAAAGAAAGAAAGAAAAAAAGTATTGGTGAGCCATTTGTTTTTATCTCAAAGTTTCCTTCAAACTCTCTGGCTTTTGGTGATTTCAGAATAGGGATTTATTTTTCCCATTTCCTTCTATCTTCTTTGTTTTTCCATTCATCCTATAAATTTTTCTCAAAACATCTGGCCCAGGGTCACCAGGCCCTCCTGGAGAAGCCTAATCATGTGGCTTCCCCCAATCAGAACTAGCCTGTATCATATTTCAATTGCCAGCCAGTTTAATCATCCCTTCTGTCGGGAAAGTTAGGCTTATGGATAAATCAAAGCAGCTTTGCAACAAAAGTCAGGGACAGTATAACTTCCCGGGAAGAACTTTGCCTTGCAAATATATAGCTTTCTCCATCATAAACAAGGTCACCAACACTACCTTTCACCTTGATGAGAAATTCAAATTTTCAAAAGAAAAATATTGCCCTACAGGTAGAGGAATTTTAGCCAATCTTAGAGTCTTTTAAAAATAAAAAACATAATTTCTCCATCATAAATTTGTTCTGGTTAACCCAAGAAGACCTGTAGTGTTTTATTTGTGTAACCAAACATCTTAAATCTCACTGCTGACTACAAGTCCCTAAATCTAACTGTTTTTGCTGACAAGAAAGGAAAGTCTGGAAGGTTCAGATTCTGCAGACATTTTTCTTGGCTTTGGTATTCCTCACCAGTGGCTGCCAATTTGATGCTGTCACCTTTGATCACTTTGTTTGTTTGGCAGGAGACTGTGAAAAAGGACGACTTGTGCCCCATTCATCCTGTGAGTCTGAACCATGGTCAGCAATGCACGAAGGAAGGAAGGCAGCAAGGGCCAGGAGAGGTGGGGTGCAGGGCTGCGTGCAGGCTCAGGGAATCACTGCACCATAAATACATGTGTGGCAGAATACATTTCTCAAAAGTGTCCACAGAATAAAAATATCTCCCAGGCTCTTCTAGGATCTTACCCTTCCCCATTGAGAGAGGAAGTCTATTTACCTTGAAGATACAAGGGACTTTAACTGCCTCAATGAATAGAATCCAAGAGAAATGATGCTGGGTGACTTCCAGAGCAGGGTCATAAAAGGCAATGCGCACTCTCAAGCACAAGTTGTCTGTGCTCTTGGAGCCCAGTGACCATGTTGTTTTAAATCCAAGTCCCCATGAAGTATGTTCCATCTGAGAGTCCCCGCTGAGGTGTCAGACAACATTCAGCAGCAACTACCAGAGTGAGTGAGTGAGTGAGTGAGGCTTCTGAAGATTCCAGCTCTGGTCTTCAACCTGCCCTCACTGATGGTGAATGGAGTAAATACAAGCTATCCCCATCAAGACCTGCACAAACTGCACACGCATGAGTGACATGGCTTGAATCTGTGTCCCCACCCATATCTCATGTTGAATTATAATCCCCAGTGTTGGAGGTGGGGTCTGGTGGTGGGTGATTTGATCAGGAAGGCAGTTTTTCATGGTTTAACACCATCCCTCTAGAGCTGTGCTCATGATAGAGTTGTCAGGAGATCTGGTTATTTAAAAGTGTGTAGCACCTCCCCACTCTCACTCTTCCTCCTGTTCCAGCCACGCGAGACATGCCTACTTCTCCCTTTGCCTTCCGCCATGATTGTAGGTTTCCTGAGGCCTCCCAAGAGGCCAAGCAGATGCCGGCATCATGCATTCTGCACAGCCTGCAGAACTGTCAGCCAATTAGACCTCCTTGATTTATAAACTACCTACCCATTCTCAGGTATTTCTTTATAGCAATGTGAGAATGGACTAATACAATGAGCAATATAAATGGTTGCTTTTTAAGCCACTAAGTTTGGGGTAATGTATTACACAGCCACAGTAAATGGAACAACATGGAGGCTGGAGACCAAGATAGGTCAAAGCAAGGCCCATGGGCAGAAGACAGGGGCCAGCAGAACAAGCCAGCAGGCAAAGCACATCAGGAAACAGGGTAGTGAGCCAAAGTTGATTTTGAAAGATCATGGGAACTGGAAAGAACATGAGGCCAAGAATCCTCTTCTATTTCTCCAACTTCAGGAAAAATCATTTTCATGCTGAAAGCCTATTTTTATAATCGATGACTACTTATATGTGGGTTAAGAAATTTTAGGCTGGGCGCAGTGGCTCACACCTGTAATCCCAACATTTGGGGAGGCCAAGGCAGGAGGACAGCTTGAACCCAGGAGTTCAAGACCAGCCTTGGCAACATAGCAAGACCCCCATCTCTACCAAAAAAAAAAAAAAAAAAAAAAAAATTTAATTACCTGGGCATGGTTGTGCACACCTGTAGTTCCAGCCACTTGGAAGGCTTGAGCCCTGGAGGTGGAAGATACAGTGAGCTATAATCACACCACTCCACTCCAGCCTGGACAACAGAGCAAGACCCCCATTCTCAAAAAAGAAAAAAGATTTTAAGTCTCCAAAGTTAAGTTCCTATTTTATATGACGAAACAGCCAAGTTTTTGCAAAGGTCATGATTACATTACCAGTCCATTGTTATATCCCATTTCTCTCTCCTAAGCTCCAGGTGGCACCTGCCTCTGCCTGACCCACAGGTACCTCAAATTTAGCATATGAGAATGAGCTCATCTTCCTACCTCCCTCCACAAGCACTCCTTCTGAATTCCCTATCTCGATTAGCGGCACCACCATGCGCTTCATTTGTTAGGCCAGAAAATGAAGTGGCATCCCAATTTCCTCCCACTCTTTCTTCCCAAATGTTACCAACCGTCAAGTCCAGAGAGGTGCCTCCTTACCTCCTGTTTGCCTCTCCTCCCCACTCACAATGCCAGGACCCGGTTCAGGCATTCATTTTCACTGAATTTGCTGAATTCTCTCATCCCCCCTGGAGTCCCTGCCTCTACTCTCTCCTCTTTTTGGCCCATTGGCCATTTCTGTGCAGAATGACCTTTCTGCACAGAAATTAGATCAGTCATCTTCTTGTTGAAAGTCTTTCCTGAGTCCCTATCAGTACCAACATAAGACAGAAGAACGGCAGGCAGGACCTTTCCAAGGTGGGTGAGTCCTAGCTCCATCTTCAGTCCCACCCCTGTCTCTCCTGTCTCAGGCTGTGGTCTCCAGGAACAGACAACATGCCTTCTCCGACTCTCCCATCCTTCCTGCCTCTATGCTCTCAGGCTGTGCCCTCCAGGAAGAGACAGTGTGCCTTCTCCGACTCTCATATCCTTCCTGCCTCTGTGCTCTCAGGCTGTGCCCCCTAGGAACAGACAATGTGCTTTCTCCAACTCTCTTATCCTTCATGCCTCTGTCCTCGGGCTGTGGTCTTCAAGAACAGACAATGTGCCTTCTCCAACTCTCCCATCCTTCCCTGCCTCTGTACTCAGGCTGTGGTATCCAAGAACAGACGATATGCCCTCTCCAACTCTCCCATCCTTCCCTGACTCGGTGCTCAGTCTGCAGCTCTGCTGAGTGCCTTCCCTGCCCATATCCTCCAGGCAAGCTCAGCCTCACACCCAGTCCCATCCCAAATGCCCCCCTTATCAAGCTCAGCTTGACTCCCTTCATTGTACTTGAGTTGCCTCCCTATGATCTCGCTATCATCAGAGCATCCATTTATTCTAGTACATGTGCAATCAGATTTCAATTGTCTGCCTGCATGCCTGTCTTCCAACAAGATTTTAAGCTTCGAGAGTTCAGGGATCATGTATGTTTACCTGTATCTCCAGTACTTAGCATAGCACTTCTTCACATACAATAGGCCCTTACAAATACTTGATGCTTGACAGAAATAACAAGAAAAATAAAACCCACAGAAACTAAAAAGGATTGAAAGAAATAATGTATGAACAAATGGATGAATAAATGAACGAGCATAGAAATGGGTGATGCTTAAGAAACTGAGCCAAATGCTGGCTCTGCCATTGAGTTATTTACAACTTGGACTCTTTGTTTCCTTTCTCTAAGCCTTAAGTCCTTCATCTTACAGGGAGAAACTGGGGATACCTTATCCTCAAATTCCCTTCCAGTTCTCACTTCATAGGAGCGATGAGAACTCCCTCAGCTGGACCAGAGAGCACTGCCCACAGAAGTGGTTCCCAAACAGCCAATCATTGGAATCACCCGGGAAGCTTGTGAACACCTGAGACTCCTAACCCCAGCACAGACCCACTGAACCACAACCTCACAGAGGGGACGTGAGTGTTTTGAAAAAGCTCCTCAGATTACCCTGAGGCTCAGCCAGACTCCAGAAGCCTTGGACCAGCAAATACAGCAGGGTGTCTCAGATATGATCACTTGCAGACCCCAGAGAAAAGGCTTGATCAAATCTGCACTGAAAGTTAAATAAAGAGACCAGTGGAACAGGACAGATAGTCTAGAGAATGACCTATAAGGACTCCCTGAAAACACTGGTATATTTAGAATGATGGTTAGCCGAGAGCTTCTATCTCACTGCAGTAAAGCAGGGCAGTGTGTGGATGGCCACTTCTGTGGGTTGAATGTTTGGTGACAGAAACCCAGCCAGAAGAAGCAACGTAAAATGGCCCCAGTAGGAATTACAATTGAGAAAAAGGTTTTTTTAGAGCTCTATAATAAAAAGTTGACTTAGTTAAAACTGACGTTTTGTTGATATATGTATACATATATACATATACATACACAGCCTTAAGGCCTCTGTTCTGTCTCTGTAAAATTTCTCCATCCACTGGATCCTGTTTCTTCATTTGCTTCTGCCTGTCCCTCCTTCCTCTTGCCACCCTCAGTGTCACAGGTAGCAACTATCTGGGCCAGCGGCACAGGCAGTAAAGGAATTTACCAAGATAGTCGTAGGTAAAGAAAGGCAGATTATCAGAGAAAGTGCAAAGTTGCAAGAAAGCAGTGGGCAGATCAGCAAGAGAGGAGCTGAGTTCCAGGAGACAGAGGATTGCTGGGGATTTTATAGGATGATGCTTGTGCTGGAGAGGGCTACACGCAGTTCTGATAACCCTAAGGTTGCAGTGAGCTAGCTTGCATTCTTCTATCAGCGAGGTGTTTGTTTGATAAGTCGAGGTGTTTGATGATAAGTTGGGTGGGAAGATCATGGGTCATGTGAGTTATCTGTGCAGGAGGGCTACGTGTCCTGGACCATTAAGAAAGGCAGACTTACAGCTCATCTGCTTTTTCTTTTTGCTTTCCCCTGCTCCCACCAGCCTGACACCTCTTCTCTAATTAGGACTGCATACTCAATGCCATATGAGGGACCCAAAAAGGGAAATTTCTGACAGCCTGGGATCCCTTGGGGAAAATGGAACAGATACCAGACTCTTTCTAGAAGGATCATTGGTTTTTCTTCATGGAACTCCAAGAGTCATAAGTGGACAGATAAGACTCTACTGCCTTTTATATTGCTTTTCCTGATCTCTTTGGCTTTGGGGATACCAAAGACTGGATGGTACCATGAGTGGATTTGACCTCAACGCATGTGTGGTGTCTGGCAGTGTGATGGCAGTGAGAGCTTCAGTGCTGGGAGTAGCTGAGGACAGTTGTTTGCAGGAGATGGTCATTGCTGCAGGAGGCTGCTTGGTTCTTTGGACATTTGGATAAGAAAAGCAGGGTGCAGGCCCTAAAAACTGCATGCCTTCTTGGCCTTGTTCTTTAAAGGGCTTCACTATAAAGCTATGATCTAATTAAGAGACAAGCCAAGTTGAAAAGACAACTTATCCATTTTAATCATTCAACCACATATGGTTGGCTGGTAAATAGCTTATTCTGATACAAGAATCTTGGGTGCGTATGGAAAGATTGTGAAAGAGGGTGTCTTGCATCAACAGCTGTCTTATTTATGATATATAAGTAGAAATACAGCAAATGTTGTTGGAATCTGTTATTTTAGTACCATTTCTCTAATAAAGCTAAGTATTTTAGAGGGGAAAAAAAGACCACTTATCAAACTAAATCAGTCTTTGAAACTCTTTGTAGAAGAAATTTACATCTTTAAAGGAAATCTCCATTTGTAAGGGCATCTCTGTCACTGCACTTAAGCCACTAGGAATGTTCACTATGGGAAGACAATGGCTTAGAGTTTACATAAGAAACCTTGCTTTTGTTTAGATCCGAGTCCTGTGTCTTTGAGAGGTAAACTTTCTATCTTGTTTCTCCTGAGTCCTGCCTTTGGAGATGCATGGAACAGATATGCAAGAGATTAATACTCTAAGATAGGGAATAAACTTTTTGAAAACTGGTGAGTGAAAAGTCTTATAAATTCATAAGATCTGCTTCTGTGCATCTGTTATATGCTTATATACATACATATACATCTGTTATATACATACATATAGACAGATGTATATAGCATCTGTCTATATGCTTATATGTGTCATGAGTATGTGACATTTCACTACCAAAACATATGAAAGGGCTCTAATCAATTGGCTTAAGGAAAAATCAAGTGCTTAAATCAAATTTTTATTTTAAAAAATAGAAGCTAGCTCAAATATCTTTTAGTTCATGTGACTTTGGTAATCTTTGGTAAATAAACTAGTTTCAAAATTCTCTTGAGTAATTTGAAGTCTTAAAGTCATGTTAAACTAAGTAATCCTGAGACCACAGTATTGCAGTAAAGTTTAACTGACAGAAGGCCAACCCACACAAGAGAACTGGAGTTACCACTCAAATCAGTTTCTCTGAAGCCTCGGAAGTTAGGATTTTTATGGACAATTGGTGGGCAAGGGGCTAGGGAATAGAGTTGCTGATTGACTGGACATGAAATCACAGGGGTGTGGAAAATGGTCCTCGTGCACTGAGTCCACTTTTGGGTGGGGCCACAGGACAAGCTGAGTCATGAATCATGAATCTGGATGGGGCCCATCTGAAAAATATCTCAAAAAGCAATCTTAGGTTCTGCAGTAGTAATGTTATCTATAGGAGCAACTGGGTAAGCCACAAATCTTGTGACATCTGGCCACATGACTTCTGAGCAGCAAGGGGTTATAGAAACTATACCAACATTTATCAGAACTCAGGCCCCTTCCATAATCCTATTCTTGTGGCCTTTTATTAGTCTCATGAAGGTGATTTTCGGTCCCTAAGCCAGGAGGGGATTAGTTTGGGTGGGGGACTATTAGCATCCTTGCTTTCAAGTTAAACTATTATTGGCAGTGGTGAATCCATATGGGTCTTCAGCAACTCAATTCTTGCCTCCTCAGAAGAAAGAATTTGACTGAGGGCCATAAGGCAGAGTGAGAAACCAAGGCAAGTTTTAGTGGAGGAGTGCACATTTATTAAAAAGTTTTAGAGCAGGAATGAAAGGAAGAATACTTGGAAGACAGCCAAGCAAGCAACTTGAGAGAGTTAAGTGCTCTGTTTGACCTTTGACTTGAGGTTTCATATGCTGGCATGCTTCCAGGATTGCATTACTTCTCCCTTGATTTTTCCTGGGGGCAGGCTGTCTGCATGTGTACTGGCCTGCCAGCACTTGGGAGGGGCCACATGCACAGTGTGTTTACTGAAGTTGTGCAGATGCTCATTCGAGGCCTTCTTCCCTTACTAGCTGAGCATTCCTAGAGGAAGGTCATATACTGGTTAAACCCTGCCTCTTTGCCTTTTAATGCATATGCTTGAGCCCACTCACCCAGCTCCTGAGATCTTACTGGGAAGCCGCTAGCACCAGCTTCAGGTTTTTTCTATCTATTAGGAGATTGCCTTTCTCTGGCACCAGCTCTAACCAATTATTATTTTAAAGAGCCAGCTTAGCAATTGCCTATCACCTGATGGTCACCTGACATTCCTGCCCTGCTCATGCCTGCCTGACTACCTACTGTATGTAATGCAACCCTCCCTATAAATGCCAAGTGAAGCACCCTAGATGATGCAGTTGATATGTTTTGTATGCAAGCCGTGGGGGATTTGCTTTATGATGACAGGGACTTTCACCCAGGGAATATGCCTGTTACCCAGGTCATGGTAAGTGCTATGGTGAATAGGGCCCCTTCTATATGGGCACCTCATGTTATTCTGGCAGAATCTAACAATTGGAGAAGCCTTATCTTACAAATGCTAATAAAAATATTAGGTTAATTAATGAGAGGGAAGAGTCATGGACCTACCCCAACAGGGTAGAAATATGTATACAGTTATTAAGAAATGCAATGAATAAAATGGAAACCGATGAGGTTAAACAAAAGGTCTTAATACAACAATACAGAAGACTGGGTGAACCAAAGGGAGCCCCTGCTGGTCTCCCAACACTAAGGGGCCCCAAACAAGTTTTCTGTATTTACCCCCAGATTAGAGATTTCTCTTTTTAATTAGAGGGCAAAGATTGCAATGAGAAAGCTGACCAACAACTGTCTGGGGCAATGTTGATGTCAAGCTAAGATTGACAAAAGGGTCCCCAAGTCTCTTGGCTCAACCACATGACCCCTGAGCAGGAAGGGATGATAAAAACCATGCCTACATCTTAGCAGAGTTTTAAGAGTTGCTGGGGACCCAAACCCTTTTTCACAACAGAAGGTAAAATGGTCTGGGGGTAGATAAAAGAAGTTCCTAGGACTGGAACATAAAAATGTAAGGGTTGATAGGATTATGAAAGTGAAAATGTTTACACAGGCTTTATGGAGAGTAGTTTTGTCTTCTTTAGTTAAACAGTCTCTAAAAATGGATATAGTATCCAACTGGGGAATGTTTCCTCTACCTGGTACTATAAAACAGAAGGTATGGGCCAGACGCGGTGGCTCACGCCTGTAATCCCAGCACTTTGGGAGGCTGAGGTGGGCAGATCATGAGGTCAGGAGTTCTAGACCAGCCTGGCCAACATAGTGAAACCCAATCTCTACTAAAAATACAAAAAATTAGCCGAGCGCGGTGGCAGGCACCTGTAATCCCAGCTACTTGGGAGGCTGAGGCAGAAGAATTGCTTGAACTCAGAGGGCAGAGGTTGCAGTGAGCCAAGATTGTATCACTGCACTCCAGCCTGGGCAACAGAGTGAGATTCCATCTCAAAAAAAAAAAACAACCCAGAAGGTATGTAAAGCTGCCCTGTGAAAAATATTAATTAATATTAATTGGACTAAATGGGAACCAGTAAGATTGTCCAAGCCCACAGAGAGTGGAGAAGCTGAAGTGCTGGTCAGGACAAATTCTGCACCTGGTGGCCCTTTGTGGAACATTTACTGGGGCTTACAACAAAAGCCTATTAGCGCCTCCCAACTTTGACTACTGGTACTTTGGACTAGAGCAAGGGTCCCCAACCCCCAGACCGTTAGCCAGTACCACTCTGTGGCCTGTTTGGAACTGGGCCTCACAGCAGGAGATGAGTGGCAGGTGAGCAAGCAAAGCTTCATCTATATTTACAGCCGCCCCCCATCGCTCGTATTACTACCTGAGCTCCACCTCCTGTCAGATCAGCAGCAGCATTAGATTCTCATAAGAGCAAGAACCCTATCGTGAACCACACATGCAAGGGATCTAGGTTGCATGCTCCTTATGAGACTCTAATGCCTGATGATCAGTCACTGTCTCCTATCACCCCAAGATGGGACCATCCAGCTGCAGGAAAAGAAGCTCCGGGCTCCCACAGATTCTACATTATGGTGAGATGTATAGTTATTTCATTATACATTACAATGTAATCATAATAGAAATAAAGTGCACAATAAATGTAATGTGCTTGAATCATCCCAAAAACATCCCCCCGACCCCAGTCGTCCATGGAAAATTTGTCTTCCACAAAATGGTCCTTGATGCCAAAAAGGTTGGGGACCACTGGACTAGAGAATTTCCACTTGAGGGGCACTTACTGCCTTGCTATGAGATGTTAACTGAAGCTACCCTTATCCTAAGAGGAACAGCAATGCCCAAAAGGGTTCCATGATAAGACGGACATGGTTTACATAGGATCTTGATACCTGGGGAGGGCACAGAGGAGATATTCACAAGCAGGAGGCCTTTTTCCCCTAGGAACTGTGTGAGGAGCTGCTGGAATTTACAGTGCCTGATAAATGCCTCTCACGTGACTGACAAAGAGCTGTGTGGTTGGTGGAGGGCAGCTCCAAGGTAAATGGACAACATCTTGTTTAGAAAGCCGCTACTGTGATTGAAGATGAGTCAGGAAAATCTTTTTCCTTTTGAGCTATTTATAGCTATTTATAGCTCAAAAGGAAATATGGTATGGGTATCCACCATCTTGTCTCACCACTGCCCGAGACACAGACGTGGCTTCTGTTAGTAAGTCCCTATTAAACGTTTCTTCCTAAGGTGGGGGAAAAAGAGTCCTAGACCTACAGGTATACTAACTTATCACAAGTTAATTTCCAGCACAAGTGCCCCTGGAAGACCAGCCCAGTTAACTGGACACCTGTGTGGGACGTGATAAGCCTCATCTTCCAATTTGTACAGCATATAAAACTTGATTCAAATTGGATCATAGACGTAACTGTGAAAAGTAAAACGCTAAACCTTTTAGGAGAAACACAGCAGAATACTCCCATGGGGGAGGGAAAATTTCTTACACAGAACACAAAAACCTCTAAACATAAAAGACAATATTGACAAATTCGACTGCATCACAATTAAGAACTTATTTTTTCTGCCCCATTCTCAGCAACTAAAAAGAAACTTTTATTCACCAAAAGATACCACTAAGAAACTGAAAAGGCAAGACATAGACTAAGAGATACATATATTTGACAAAGGACCTGTGTACACAATATGTAAAACTTCTACAAATCATTAAGAAAAAATCAAATGACCCACTTTTTTAAAGTAGGTAATAGACTTAAACAGGCAATTTACCAAAAAGGATGTCCAAAAGGCCAAAAGCATATGACAAGTTGTCAGTATCATTACTCATCAGATAAATGCAAATTAAAGCTACACTGAGTTATCACACACCCACCAGAATGACTAAAATTAAAGACTGACAGTACCAAGTGTTGGTGAGGATTTGGAGCAACTGCAGTATCTACTGATGCTAAACATGCCATTACTCTATCACCCATCAATACCACTTTTAGATATATGCCCAACAGAACTGAGTGCATACGACTGCCAAAAGTTATAGCCATGAATATATTACAGCTTTATTTATCATTTGCATAAAACTGGAAACAAATCAATTGCCTATGAAGAGTAGAATGGATTTGAATTATTGTGACATAATTATACACTGGTACAGTGCATAGCGATAACAAACTGGTCTACTCCATGCACAGCATGGTTGAATCTCATAGACATAATCATGAGCAAAAGATGAAAACACAAAACAATTGTACATATAATGATACATAGAGGTAAAACTTATCAAAGGTGAGGAAAGTCAGAAAGCTCTTTATCTATGGTGGGGAACTGTGCAGGAAGAAAAGAAGAAATAGTGCTGACTTAGGAAAGAGCCACAAAGGAGGCTTCTGGGTGCTGTAAGCATTACTCTATCTTGATCTCAAAGTGGTGGCTATGCCGATACACACACACACACACACACACACACACACACACATATACACACACATCTATATATATGTACACACACACACACATATATATACACATATATATGTACATGTATATATATATATCTCCTTTTCATTTAAGATTTGTACCCTTTGCTATATGTAAGTTATACTTCAAAATAAATATTTTAAAGTTAAATCTTATCAATTTAGCACATTACTTGGCCTCAATATTAGCATAAACTCAAATTTAGGCAAATTTAGGTACCAAAGTTGCACAGCAGTACATAGTTATAAGGCGTAACCCAGGGACCCGGAACATGCTCATGTCTTTTAAGATTGCAATTAAAATGAAACCACAAACACATTTGCTTTATAAAATTCACAGGCCCCTGAGAATACAGCACATACTGCCAGGATGCTGTCCATTCTGGTTTTGGAAATATTTAGAAATATGGCCTAGCATTCAAACTACTGTGGTCAGCTGCTTATGAGATCATTAGCACCCCCTCCCAGCCTTGGCACATCTTGGCACAGCCCCATGTTTTGTCTTTGAGGGTGCTGTCAGGGGTCATTTTGAAGATAAAAGCATGTTAAGTTTAGTCCCAAACTTCATTCTCTATTGTTAAAATTTAACCCTGGAAATACCTAACTTTTTCTCAGCAGTCCTTGTGGTTCATTAATTTACCTAAATCAATGGAGCAAAAGAGAAGAGATACAAGAGAAAGAGCAAGTCTAGGCTCTGACTCCTGGCCATCTGACTGCATGGGTTGCTCCAGACTCCAGCAGAATCAAGAATTCCCAGACCTCATCAGCTTAGTCGGAAAACTTTCTCAACTGGATGGCAGGAAACATGGATTCAAACCCTGTTTTCTGCTCGCCCTCACTGGGTTTTAGCTTTTGGACCTGGAAGACAGAGATGACAGCACTTGCCCCTACTGACCTCAGTTCAAAGCAATGATAAAAAATGAGACATCTTTTCAGAAGCAAGGTTGCTTAGGGTGATAATACCATCTTCACTGTCATCTCCACAAGGGTGGAATTGGTGAGATTAATGGACGCAGATTGGGCATCATTGTACACCTCTGTAAGAAACCAGGTTTAAATACTATAAATAAGTAACTTGCCCCCAAAATAATGGCTTTCTTTTACTTAATCCCCAATGTGATAGTAAAAATAATGATTATTTTACTGGTAAAAAGAAATTTTAATTTTAATAGGAGCATTTTTAATACTGATGCTCCCCCATGTTTTTTAAATGATCCCATTGACAAAAACTACGTCTTCCTGCTTCTTATCGTCCAATACTCCCCAGTGCGATCAATAGCACTTAAATGGCACAGTGCTGATGCCTTTACTGACTGTGGCTAACTGCCACTGCCATAAAGTCACCCAAGTCAAGTTTGCTTAAAAAGACTCTAAATCACTTGTCTCAGGCAAGTTTTGGGGAACTTTAGTACCTTAAAGTGTTTTATGAGAAAGAAAACAAAAAAGGATTCCAGCAACTATAATTTTAGGACCATCTTATACACAAATCCCCCCAGAAGGGTGTAAAGCCTGACATGGAAGAAGGTACATGGCAATGTGGCCCCTCCTACTGTTATTGCACATCTGTTGATACTTCCTTTTATCCTTAAAGTTTTGGCAACACACGTGTTGTCCATTACATGTACATTTAGGGTTGTTATGTCTTACAAAGAATCGATCCCTCTATCATATGCCATCCCCATTACCCTTGGTAATAGCTCTTGTTGTGAAGTCCACTGTATCTAAATTAATATAACTATTTCAGCTTTCTTTGAGTTATGTTTTTTAATTGTTATTATTATTATTATACTTTAAGTTCTGGGGTACGTGTGCAGATTGTGCAGGTTTGTTACATAGGCATACACGTGCCATGGTGGTTTGCTGCACCCATCAACCCGTCATCTACATTAGGTATTTCTCCTAATGCTATCCTTCCCTTAGCCCCCTACCCTCCAACAGGCCCCAGGGTGTGATGTTCCCCTCCCTGTGTCCATGTGTTCTCATCGTTCAGCTCCCACTTACGAGTGAGAACATGCAGTGTTTGGTTTTCTGTTCCTGTGTTAGTTTGCTGAGAATGGTGGTTTCCAGCTTTATCCATGTTCCTACAAAAGACATGGACTCAACCTTTTTTATGGCTGCATAGTATTCCATGGTGTATATGTAAGTCATGTTTTCTTGGACTATTTCTTCTATCCTTTAACTTGTCTACATCTTTATGTTTAGAGTGGGTTTCTTGTAGACATCATACATTTGGGTCTTACTTTATTATTCAGTCTGACAATCCATCATCTCATAATCTGTTTAGACCATTTATACTTAATGTAATTATTAATATGGTTGGATTAATATCTACCATCTTAGCTGTATTCCATTTGTTCCTATGTGTTGTTTTATTTTCCCCATTTTCTGCCTTTAGATTAATTTAATATTTTTATGATCACATTTCATCTTCACTATTGGCCTATTTATATCTTTTTATTTTGTATGGTTGTCCTAAGGTGTACATCTCTTTAATGAATTAGATCCTACCTTGAAATATTATGCCACATCCTGTGTCATGTGAGGACCTTAAAACAGCACACCCCTAATTTCTCCCTTCTGTCCTTCGTGCAGCTGGCACATATGCTATAAATGCACAACAAATTGCTATTATACTTGCTTTAGACAATCAGTTGTTTTTCAGAGCAATTAAAAGAAGAAAAATGAATTTTATATGTGCCTTTATTTATACCATGTCTAGCACTTTTCAATTATTATTATAGACACAAATGCAGTCACGTTGGGGGTTACAGATTCAGCGTATGGGTTTGGGAGGGACACAGGGCAGTCCATAACACGCAGTTTCTGATGAGTGATCTGCTGTAATTTTTATGGTTCCTCTGTATGCAATGTGTCTTTATTTCTCTAGCTGCCTTTCTCTTTGTCTTTGGTTTTCACACTTTGAATAGGCTATGTTTAGCTTTGGGTTTTTTTTATATTTATCCTTCTTGACTTTCTTAGAGCTTCTTGGATCTGTGGTTTGATGCCCACCATTAGCTTTGGAAATTCTCAGCCATTATCTGTTCAAAAATTTTTTCTTCCCCATTCTCTCTCTCTTCTTTTGAGATTCCAGTTACACCTATTTCATGTCATTTCATATTGTCCCACAGCTCTTGAATGTTCTATCCTGTTTTTTGTTGTTGTTGATTTGTTTGTTTTTAGAGACAGGGTCTTGTTCTGTCACCCAGGCTGGAGTACAGTGGAACAATTATGGCTCACTGCAGCCTTGAATTTCTAGGGTCAAGTGATCCTCCCACCTCAGCCTCCTAAGTAGCTTAGCTGGGACTACAGGCTTGTGCCACCACATCTGGCCAATTTTTTTATTTTTTAATTTTGTAGAGATGGGGTCTCACTATGTTGCCTAGGCTGATCTCAAACTCCCAGCCTCAAGTGATCCTCCTGCCATGGGCTCCCAAAGCATTGTGATTACACCCATGAGCCACTATTCTGTTTAATTCGTTCATTTTTCTTTTTTTTTTTTTTTTTTTTTGAGACAGAGTATCGCTCTGTTGCCCAGGCTAGAGTGCAGTGGCATGATCTCAGCTCATTGCAACCTCCACCTCCCAGGTTCAAGCAATTATTTTGCCTCAGCCTCCCAAGTAGCTGGGACTACAGTTGCACACCACCATGACTGGCTAATTTTTGTATTTTTAGTAGATTCAGGGTTTCACCATGTTGGCCAGCCTGGTCTCAAACTCCTGACCTCGAGTGACCCACGCACCTTCACCTCCCGAAGTGCTGGGATTACAGGCATGAGCCATCGTGCCTGGCCTCTCTTTGTGTTTTGATTTGTGTTATTTCTATTGACCTGTGTTTAATTTCACTCATTCTTTCTTTCTCCAGCTGTATCAAGCCGGCTGGTAAGCTCTTGGAGCATTTCCATTTGACTTTTTTCTCAGAGTTTACCTACCCAATCATGCACATTGATCACATTTCCCACTAGAGCCTGTAGCATAGCTTCTAAAATGTCTTATCTATAGTTCTAACATCTGTTTCATGCCCCAGTTTGGTTCTACTGATTGCCTTGTTTCTTAGTGTGTGGTTTTTTCTTGCTTCTTTATGCCTCATAATTTTCTGTTGAAAGCTAGATAGCTCGTGTAGACAGTAGACAACAAGGTAAATAGGTTTTATGCCCAGAAATGGGCCTTTTGCTAGGCCTTTAGTGTGTGGGCAGGGAGTTAGCTGAACTAGTTAGGACTCTGCGTGGATTGCAGTTTTGTTGTGACTGTGGATACCCCGGTACACCACAGACTTCCAACCCCTTTAGTGCCACCTTGTGTTTAGGGCTGGGGCTGGGTCACAAGACGTCAGCTCTATTCTCAGCCTTGAGTCTTCTTTTTGTGCTCACACGGCAAAGAGGGTCTTTCCATGCTGTGATGGTTAATATTGAGTGTCAACTGGATTGGATTGAAGGATACAAAGTATTGATCCTGAGTGTGTCTGTGAGAGTGTTGCCAAAGGAGATTAGCATTTGAGTCAGTGGGCTGGGAAAGACAGACCACCCTTAATCTGGGTGGGCGCAATCTAATCAGCTGCCAGCATAGCTAGAATATAAGCAGGCAGAAACATGTGAAAAGAGAGACTGGCCTCGCCTCCCAGCCTACATCTTTCTGCCGTGCTTGAACATCAGACTCCAAGTTCTTCAGTTTGGAACTTGGACTGGCTCTCCTTGCTCCTCAGCCTGCAGACGGCCTATTGTGGGACCTTGTGATCATGGGAGTTAATACTTAATAAGCTCCCCTTTATATCTATATATTTATTCCATTAGTTCTGTCCCTCTATAGAACCCTAATACACATACCCTTTCCCTGTCAGCTTTGCTTGTTACTCAACACTCAGGCTGGCAGGAGGCAGAGGGGTGCATTTTCTCTTGTTCTAATTCAGCCTACGTCTTAAACAAGACTGTGTCCCTAGTTCTTGGGAATGGGGTCTTCTCAGTGACCCTACCCTGCTCCTGGTGGCAGGAGATCGCTAATGGTCAGAGCCCAGGATGCGTTCCTACCCCTCCCTCAAGGGAAGAGGGTTTTTCCCTGTCCCCTGCCCTCCTGATGCAGGGGATCTTGGCTAGGGTTCTAGGGTAAGGGGGTTGCAGCTTTCCCCTGTGTGGCTTGAGGCTTTTTCTCTGCAGGGGAGATGGGGGAGGAGGACCCAGATGGGGGTCCACTCTGTGCTGCAGCACCTGGGTGGCCCCTCCCCAGGTCGGCCGGCCGTGAGGCAGGCTTCCTTAAGACTGTCTCCCTGTCGCCAGGAGGTCTGGGGACAGAGTCCATGAGAGGGCACAAGTCCCCTGCAGCTCTCAGGGGGTTCATATTCTCATGCTAGCCCACACTAGGCTTTAGCAATTCATTAGAAATGTGAATTAATTCCTTCAGACTTTCTCATAGGTGTCTGGCAGCATCTGCTCGAGGCAGACAAGTGCTCATGCCTCTTCTCTCCTTAGACATCCTTGTCTCCCCTGAGGTTTCAGGTTAGTCGGTTGCCCTGTGACTTAGCTCTTTAATGAATTCAAGAAACATTGTGAATTTGGAGATTGTCAAACAATTAACTTTTTTGTTGTTGTAAGAGTGGGAGTAACATTCTTTCCAGCTTCCTATAGCCCAAGCGACAGCAGGGGTAGCCTTCACGGAAGATTATTCTTTCTTAAATAATAGTCTTAAAGAATAGTCTTCACTGCAACTTATAACAGTAAAATAAATAAATGGTAAAAACTTAAGTGACTATCAGAAGGGAAAAATGTTCAGCCTGGGCAACACAGTGAAACCCTGACTCTTAAAAAATAAAAATAAAAAACAGCTAGGTGTGGTGGTGTGCTGTGGTCCCAGCTATTTGGGAGGATGAGGCAGGAGGATCACTTGAGTCCATGAGTTTGAGGCTGCAGTGAGCTACGATCACGCCACTGCACTCCAGCCTGAGCAATAGAGTGAGACCCTGTCTCAAAAAGAAAGGGGCTGGGAGGGGGAACTTAAATAAATTATGGTACATTTTGGGGGACCAAGGCAGGTGGATCATCTGAGGTCAGCAGTTTGAGACCAGCCTAGCCAACATGGTGAAACCCCGTCTCTATTGAAAATACAAAAATTAGCTGGTGTAGTGGCGCGTGCCTGTAATCGCAGCTACTCGAGAGGCTGAGGCAGTAGAATCGCTTGAACCCAGGAGGCAGAGGTTGCAGTGAGCCGAGATCATGCCACTGCACTCCAGCCTGGGTGACAGAGTAAGACTCTGTCTAAAAAAAAATAATAAAATAAAACTAATTAATTAATTATAGCACATATATGCCCTGGGAAACTAAACCACATAGAAAAAAATTAAGACAGAGCTACATATCCTGGAAGAGAAAAAAGCCATGCTATAAGTAAGCAAATAAATATAAGTTACATAAGTGTGGAATAATGCTATTTAAGGAAAAGAAGAAGGCCGTGTGTGTGGACGTGTTCAGCGCAAGAAACACTCTGAAATATTAACACTATATTCAGTTCTGCTTGTCTTAAATCCTTGTCTTAAAAATGCACATTTGTTCCAATGTGTTTGACATATTAGGGAACAATTTGAACATAATGAGAATTTTGCATTTGCTTATTTTGTGATTTTGTCCACCAGAAACACAAAATATCTGCAGAAATCTGCTCCCAGCTTAACCAAGCACGAGAGGAACACACAGGACACGCACGTGTGCGCACACACCCTCTCAAGAATCTCCTGGCTGCCTCAGCTCACACCATTGTTACAGGCTCCATCCATCCACATTTGGTGTCACAACTGTCCTTCCACATCAGAGGACCCTCCCTTCCACCACTTCACGATCATTCACAAACTGAAATCTTTCTGACACGCGTGTTCACAAACAAAATTCCAACTTTACTTTTTTGAGACAGGGTCTCATTCTGTCACCCAGGCTGGAGCGCAGCGCTGCAATCTCAGCTCACTGCATCCTCAACCTCCGAGGCTCAAGCAATCCTCCCACCTCAGCCTCCCGAGTCACTGGGATTACAGAAGTCCACCACCACGCCAGGCTAATTTTTATATTTTTTGTAGAGATGAGGTTTTGCCATGTTGGCCAGGCTGGTCTCAAACTCCTGGGCTCAAGTAATCTGCCCACCTTGGCCTCCCCTGTGAGCCACCATGCCCAGCCCAACATTCAAGCTTTTTAAAAGTGCCATATTGATCGTAGCATGTTGTATTCCTAAACCATTTAACATGTAAACAATTGAGCTACTGTTTTTATTAAGTGCCATTTTTTTTTTTTTTTTTGAGATGGAGTCTCACTCTGTCACTCAGGCTGGAGTGCAGTGGTGCGATCTCAGCTCACTGCAAACTCCAGCCTCCTGGGTTCATGCCATTCTCCTGCCTCAGCCTCCCGAGTAGCTGGGACTACAGGCGTCCGCCACCACACCCGGCTAATTTTTTACATTTTTAGTAGAGATGGGATTTTACCGTGTTAGCCAGGATGGTCTTGATCTCCTGACCTCGTGATCCGCCCACCTCAGCCTCCCAAAGTGCTGGGATTACTGGCGTGAGCCACCGCACTCGGCCTAAGCGCCATATTTCTTAACATGTCACTGATAGTTTTGAGTGTTATTCCTCTAACTCATTTCTCATGGAAGCCCTGTCGCTTTTACTGCACAATTTTGCATAACATGGTAACTTTTAGGAATGCTTATAGCAGAATTGATTGTATGAATTCTGGAAATGAATTGGGAGAGTGAACAGAATGAATGTCTTGCTTTTTTATTATACATATCCATGTTACAGGTAAAATAAAAAACAAGCACAAAACAGTTGAGCAATAAAGGGCTAAGGAGCAGAGCCTCAAGTGTATCCATGCAGGCCATCTGCTGCACAACTCTGGGGAAGACAGACTGCCGTGTGCCCGGCGCCCCCAGAGGAGTGGCAAGGAAAACCCTGAGTTTGCAAAATGGTTTATAGTAGCCTCCTCTTAGAGACTGACAACACTCATCAGCATATTAAAGGCTCCAAGAGGCTCTCCAGCAAAGAAATGTGTGTAACTGTAATCAACCTGGAGATTCTAGAACATACATGACCAATGAGACACTTTTTTGGTAGCGCATCCATTACCAGCCCATGGGCTAGAGCACAGGGCTCAGTCAAAACCAACCCAGAAAATAAAGTCTGCCCTCTTGCTATGGAATGAGTGAGTGAATGAATGAGTGAATGAAAGTCTGAAACACAGAAAGAATAAATTTGGGTGGGATTAGGAAGAAAGTTGGGAAAAGAGGAAAGGAAACCAAATAAGGATGTTTTCAAGCTGCAGGCTTGGAACTTTTACCTGTTGCTAACTTTCCAGAATCCACTATTGGGCTCTGCTGGACAGAGTATCAGAGGAAGGAGGTTTCTCCTGCATCTGACTCAAGTTGGTGCCCATTCACTAGGAGCAACTCTTAGCAAATACATGAGTTAGGGTCACCTTTACGCTTGCTTTCAGATCAAAATATCTGCTTATTTGACTTGACAACTCCTGAGTCTCTTCTTGTGTCCACTGAATTTGCAGACATTTTTAAATTTTTTTTCTATTTTTATTGAGCTATGATAGACAAATAGAAATTAAATATATTTACAGTGTACAACATGATGTTTTGATAGATATATACATTGTTAAATAATCACCATGATCAAGCTAATTAACCTATCCATCACCTCACATTTTTTGTGAGTGTAGTGAGAATATTTAAGATCTATTCTCATAGCAAATCTCAAGTATACAATACAGTATGATTAAATGGAGTCACTGTGCTGCATGTTAGATCCCAGAACTTGTTCATCATACAACTGAACCTTTGTACCAGGTGACCAATATCTCTCCATTTCCTGCAGGAATTAGATAAATTTCCTCCAGGAGCTCAGCCTCACACACTTTTACAAATCAATGGGCTATGATTTTTCCTAACACTTTATGAAATAATTAGCCTTGCTAAGAAAGCTCCAAAGAGAATATTCTGAAATGAAGCCTGTAGACTGAGGGGCACTGGACCTAGTTTCTTGTGAAATATACTGTAGCATGGCAGCCATACTCAGGAGCAAAGCAGGTGGCATTTCTCAAGGCCATCAAACAAACCAGCCAGCGTGGCTGCCCCTCCTGGGGGCTTCCTGGCCCCCCTAAGCTGGCCAGAGCACTCGTGTTCATGAAGCTGAAGATCTGTTTTAAACCCCACAATTAAAGCTTCTCCATGGTCTCAGCTTAAGACTCAAGTGTCTGGAGTGAAACCATCTCTGAGAGGGAAAATGGAATATTTAAGCAGAAGTAACTTCTCAGGCAGCCTTAAATGGTTCTGCTTGAGGGAACACACCCAACCATACAAGAATGCTGCCCATTCCGAAATCTAAAATGTAAAAGGAAAAGAACCATTGTACTTGGACTGGGCGAGGTGGCTCATGCCTGTAATCCCAGCACTTTGGGAGGCTGTGATGGGCAGATCACTTGAGGTCAGGAGTTCAAAACCAGTGTGGCCAACATGGTGAAACCCCGTCTGTACTAAAAACACAAAAATTAGCCGGGTGTGGTGGTTCGCGCCTGTAATCCCAGCTACTCAGGAGGCTGAGGCAGGAGAATCACTTGAACCCAGGAGGCGGAGGTTGCAGTGAGCCAAGATCGCGCCACTGCACTCCAGCCTGGGCGACAAAGCGAGACTCTGTCTCAAAAAAAAAAAAAAAGAAAGAAAAAGAAAAAGAAAAAAAATGCTGTGTTCGGAGGCCCAAGTGAAGTAGGTTTGTTAGTTTATGTTCAGTACAATTTGGGGGAAACTTGACTTAGGTTGCAGTGCTGAGGCAGGAAAATAGGGTCTGGAGGCACGGAACCTAAGGCTGATTCACACTTCAGCTATGACAGGAGATATCCTCTCCATAGGGAGCACCCCGAGGAAATGACTTTGTAAGTTTACCACTTCATCCTCTCCCAGGGATGTACTTGGTGTACATAGGGCGTATACCGAGTAACCAGTGGAAACCTCTAGAGGGTACTTAAACTCCACAAAATTCTGCAATGGGGCCCTTGAGCCCCTATGCTGGGGTGCACTCCCATACTGTGGAGCATACTTTCAATTTCAGTAAATCCCTTCATTCCTTCCTTGCTTTGTTTGTGCGTTTTGTCCAGTTCTTTGTTCAAGATGCCAAGAACCTGGACACCCTCCACCGGTAACAGCGCTTCAGAAAGAAATGACCAAAATTCTTATTTCTCAAGTTCGTTAGAATCTGGCCTCTGTTGCAGATATTACTGCAGATGAGGAAGGTCCCGCTAAACTGAAGGTACCACAGAGCAGATATCAATTGTCATCCCTCTTTGCCTACCCTTGGCCAGAGCTTACAGCCCGCAGATGATGCATAAATGTTTATTGAGTAAATGAATAAGTGAATGCTGCCTAGGTACTGTATGCCACCATGTTCTCACACATTACATCATTATTCCAATGAGAGCAATCTGGTCCCTTTTTTGTAATTTCTTTAATGAAACTTAACTAGACAGAAAATCGGGCATCACTTGGAGGGCAAGTCAGGTTAGAGGATGGGTTAGGAATGATTTTTTAGGGTTATTCCTAAATTTCCCAATAGGTCATTTGTTGTTGACTGCACAAAAGAGGCCATTGGGGATTATTGTTATCAGCAAATGTTCTGATGTCATTTAAATCTAGATTTGGTCCCTGCTCTGCCATTCATTGTGTTTGTAACCTTGGGAGATGCACAGAAGCCCAGTAAATGTCAGTGCCCTCCTCTGTGTGAACAAGAGCGGTACCCACCTCATGGGGCTAGTGGGGGGATGACGTGGCTGGCACAGCCGAAATATTTTGTGAAGTGTTTGGCACACACAAAATTCTCAATGCACATCAGTTATTATCAAAAAGTGTCAAGTTATGGAGCCAGCTAGCTGCTCTTCTACATGCCTTCAATGCTCAGAGCTCTTACAAAAAGGTGGTTAGACTCTTCCACTAATTATACTATTTCCCAGAAAGGAAATAACATGCTTAAGATGATTATTATTATGCTTATAATGTACCAGGACATTGTTCTGAGTTATAAATATTTTTAATCTTCACATCAACCCAAGAGATGTCTCATTGCCATCCTCCTTTTTTAGATGAGAAAATGTGAAAATAGAGAGATTAAGTAATTTGCCCAAGGTCACACAGCTTATAAGCAGCACAGTCTCACACCTAGGCAGTCCAGCTCCAGAACCTGGACCCTGACTCCACTCCACTCCACCTCCCCAATAACTTCTAGCATTTACTCCAACTGATCCGTTATCCCACACAAAGAAGACATGTTGGTATTGTTTTTATTACTCAGGAGAAAAAGAAAAGGCATATTATTTCCAGGCATCAGCCAGACCATTAGAAAAAACTCCATCTGTCTGTGCCTCAATCAGCCAGAAAATAACAAAAAAGAAATTCAAAAAAAGAAAAAAAAACACTTAAAATGTTTGATTGGCAAGATTTCAACATGCCTTAAGAAGGCCTCCAGCTAAAAATCATCTTTGGATCTAATCTTCAATTACAAAGGGACAAATTAATTCCCTCCAGACGGCAGCAGAACTTAAAAGTATCCCCACTTGCCTCATTATTTTTCAATCTAACTGAAAACAAATCAAAACCCTACAAGAAAATAATTTCAAATGTCTTACTATTGTGAAATCTAACTGCATCAAAAGAGCCATGTCTCTTCCATCTAATCAGAAATGGCATTTCTCCTTCCCCACACTGCCGGGTCAGAGTAAGGGAGTGGGCCTTCTGACACCCGACGTCCAGGTCAGGCAGCGTGCAGAACTGGACAGAACAAGGCTTCTGGGGCACACAGGCAAAGCCAGGCATTTGTTGTCTTGGGACTCACGCAGAAATTCTAAGGATGGCTGTAGCCAGGACATGGTAAGAGCCACGGGGCTAGAGTGGTGGGCAACACACAACACCAAGAGTGGGTGGAGGTGGGGAAGGGCCGAGGCGGGGAAGGGCCGAGGCGGGGAAGGGCCGATGGGAATCAGTGTCATTAGCAGAATCCAGAGATTCTGTAAAAGTCAACTTAGAACATGGAGTCAAGAGAGTTTCATTCATTCATTACAAACTATATTTGTTAAAATAGACGACCTTAACTTTGAGCTTATTTCAGTGTGGTGATGGATTTTTCATCCTAACTGCCTGCGGGGTTGGCACCTCACTTTGTAATCTACCTGGTCATGATTTTATTTCTATCTGGTTTGCCCTAAGAACTGCCTCCAGTGTTTACGTGCCCATACAGAAACACACAGAGAGTGCAGCACCACAAGAGTTGGTCAGATTTCTCAGAGCCTTTATTCTAGGTGTGTTATGGCCCTCCTAGGTAATGACAGGGAATGCATTTACAGAGTCTGCTATCATACCCTGGAAACCGTCTACTTTGCAGCACCAGCTATGTTAGTCGGAAAGCTCACATCATTTGCCTTGAGAAAAGCTTTCTGACAATGCACACACTTTCTTTTAAAACATGCTAAAGCATACTATTTTATTTCAGGGACTTAGGTTGTATTTTGTGTTTCTGAAATCTAGCACCTCTGCATATTTGAAAATAATGGGACATTTTTCATTGGATTTTGGAAAATTGTTCCCCATGTGTATTAGTCCATTCTCACACTGCTATAAAGACATACTAGAGATGGAGTAATTTATAAAGAAAAAGAGGTTTAATGAACTCACAGTTCCACGTGGCTGGGGAGGCCTCACAATCATGGTGGAAGGCAAAGGAGAAGCAAAGGTATGTCTTACATGGCAGCAGGCAAAAGAGCGTGTGCAGGGGAACTGCCCTTTATAAAACAACATAGGATCCCATGAGACATTCACTATCACAAGAAAACACAGGAAAGCCCCGCCCTTATGATTCAATTACCTCCCACAGGGTCCCTCCCATGACATGTGGGGATTATGGGAGTTATAATTCAAGATGAGATTTGGGTGGGGACACAGCAAACCATATCGCCATGGGATTCCAACCTCACTACAAAATGGGCAAACACTTGGTTAAGAATTCTTCCATATACTACTCTCCTTTATAAGTAAATGGTTATGGGAAGGACAGAAAGAACTATTTTAAAATTAGACTGAAGGAGAAAAACAAAATTATTGTTAGTTTCATCACAATTCTAGTTGTTAGAACAAAGTTAAACTCCCAAAGAAAATACTTGGACGTTTCTTTTTTTTTTTTTTTTTTGAGATGGGTTCTCACTTTGTCACCCAGGATGGAGTGCAGTGGTGCGATCTCGGCTCACTGCAAGCTCCGCCTCCCGGGTCCATGCCATTCTCCTGCCTCAGCCTCCCGAGTAGCTGAGACTACAGGCGCCCGCCACCACACCTGGCTAATTTTTTGTATTTTTAGTAGAGACGGGGTTTCACCATGGTGTGGATCTCTTGACCTCATGATCCGCTTGCCTCGGCCTCCCAAAGTGCTGGGATTACAGGCATGAGCCACCACGCCCACCCCCTTGGAGGTTTTAATTAAATATTTTACACATTTGAAATCTTGCAATGGTGCTTTAAGTGTCCATGTAGGCTGTGAACGGCTTCGTACAGATAGATAAAATTTTCATTTTTGAATGATGAAATGTGATAACAACACCTCCTCATCTTTCACTTGAAATCAAAATGATCACTTTTTTTTTTTTTTTTTTATAATTTAAGGATGGTGAACTTAGGGGACCAGAAGACTTCTAAATTGGCTTCTACACATCCAGTGATTTAAATGTAACTATTTTGTTGGGATTTTATAACTAAAATTATATTTGTGTGTATAACTAACTAATCTGTAAATTATAATAAATATGTTTGCAATTATTTAAATGTTAATATTTTGGTCCAACTTTTTAAAAAATAAAATAAAAATGATAATTGTTAATATGCTTTATGTTCCAAGCACATAAAGTTAATATCGTTTTTCCATCTCCTAGCTCCAGAGCTAGGAGATGGTTCAATCAGCAAGTCAGATAAGACTTGAAGTCTTATCTTGAAGAGATAAGGACAGGAAGTCAGCAAGGAAAACCGGAATTCCAGAAGGTAATTAAAAATTCAGTTATTGAGAGAAATCGGTTTCTTCAAAAGACCAGAGTGCAAGGCAGGACAGGCAGTACCAGGGAGCAGAGGTGTGGAGCCTGCTGCATGTGTCGCCCTTACTTACACCCTCACTGTGGTCACTGTGGTCACTGTCCTGATGGGTTCTTCCCCAGGAGACTTTCTCCAGACTAAGGCTCATTGAGAGCTGACAGAGCCTAGCACCTGAGAGATGCCCTGTCAGTCCTAGAGGATGGATGGGGGTCGGAGGGAGGAAGAGATGAGTTTACAAGCTAAGGATTGAAGGAAACTGGCCAAGGGAGTAAGACGGCAAGTCAGCTACTGGGTACCGAAGTCAACGGGGATGATTGTCAGAGAGATGCAAAGCAAAACCACACTGAAATACCATCTAACATCTGTCAGAATGGTTTTTATTAAAGTCAGAAAACAACAGATGTTGGCATGGATGCAGAGAAAAGGGAACACTCATACACTGTTGGCAAGAATGTAAGTTAGTACAACCCCTACGAAAACAGTATAGAGATTTCTCAAAGAACTAAAAATAGAACTTCCGTTTGATCCAGCAATCCCACTACTGGGCATCAACCCAAAGGAAAGAAGTCATTATATAAAAAAGACACCTGCACCCGTGTGTTTATTGCAGCACTATTCACAAAAGCAAAGTCATGGAACCAATCTAAGTGTCCATCAATGGTTGACTGGATAAAGAAAATGTAATATATATACACCATAAAACACTACACAGCCATAAAAAAAGAATGTAATCATGTCCTTTGCAGCAACACAGATGGAGCTGGAAGCCATTATTGTAAAAAGTGAACTATCACAGAAACAGAAAATCAAATATCACAAGTTTCTCACCTCTAAGTGGGAGCTCAACAAAAGGTACACATGGACATAAAGATGGAGAAAATAGACTCTGAGTCTCAGTGACCCCTCACTGAGAGAGTGAGGGGGGTGAGGGGGGTGAGGGTTGAAGAGTTACCTACTCAGTACAATGTCCAGTACTTGGGTGAGGAGTACACTAGAAGCCCAAACCCTGCCATTATGCATGCAGAACCCATGTAACAAACAAGCACATGTGCCCCGAATCTAAAATCAAAATTATTTTAAAATTCAGAGTGGAGCCAACAGTGGTGCCAATTTGATGCTGAACTCAAGAGGAATCCTTGAAACCCCAGGTTCCTTACCTTTAACCTGGAAATGATAAATTACTGTAGAGTTGCCATGAGGAGTAAATGTGATCAGATACTGTAAATGTTCAGCAGAGTGTCTGACTCACGGCAAACACTCGTGGTGGTTGTGCTGGTGTGAGGAGTGATCATGGTAACAACGGTAGTAGTAGTGGCAAAGGTAATGGCAGTAGTAGAGGGAGTAGTGGCAGCATGGTAGTGGTAGTAGTCATGAGGATGGTAATAGTGGCGACAGTGGTAGTGGTGGTGGTAACAGTTGTAGTAGTAGTGATAGAAATGGTAGGAGTAATGATAGTAGGAATGGTGGTGGTAAGAGTTGTTATGGGGTGGTAGTAATGGTAGTAGTGATTTTAGTATGTAGCAGCAATGGTAGTGGTAGTGGCAGTAATGGTAATAGTGGCAGTAGCAGTAGTGGTGGAGGGAGAGGTAGCCATAACTTCCCTGACACTCTCCTACCACCCTAGCAAGATTAAGGTAAGCCCCTAAGCAGGGGTAGCCCACAGATGGGAGAAAAGAGTGCAGAGAAGGTAAAAAGTAGTACTTGGAAGTCTTGTACCTAACCACTGTGATAACTAAATAAACAACAAAGAAGTCTATGTACAAAAATATTTATTTCAATATTATTTGAAGTTTTTTTAACTGTGTAATTGCAGGTCCACTTTCTATCCCTTTCTCTCTAGTCTCTATCTCTGGAAATTTGGAATAGGGGAGGAAAGTTGTTTTCCATCCTGTGGGAGCAGAGAACCCATTCCAATCCAAATGCTGATGAGGATGCAGAGAAACTGGGAACAACCTTATTACTGGTGGTAACATAAACCATACAGCCACTCTGGAAAATGTTTGAGCCATTTCTTATAAAACTAAACATGCACATATCACATAACCCAAAAAACATATTCTTGGGCATTTATCCCAGAGAAATGAAAACATGTTCACACAAAGAAACTTGTATGGAAGTGTTCATACCAGTGTTACTTATAATAGCAAAAACCTAAAATGGAGGGAGCATGGCAGACAGGAGGCAGGACTAGATTGCAGCTCTGACTTGGACAGACAGAGCAGCATATGGAAGCTCACACTGTGAATTTTTGCTCCAGGACGACTGCAGGAATAAATCAGGAAACCCAAGAGGACCCACAGACCCTCTGAAGGAAGTGGATGGCTCCTGCAGGACCCGGGAGACACCCCAAATACAGTGAGTGCCCAAACTGTGGAAGTGGGAAAGGGAGATCATCTGCCGCCACATACACACCCCTAGTGGGGAAACTGAAGGTCTAGATTACAGGAGAAGATTCTGACCCTGCCTGGAGCTGAGTCAATTTAGAGAGCTGAGCAAAATACAGGGGTAGAGGAAGCAGCGGCAAAAGCCCTGTGAGCTCACTGGGTCCCCTAGCAAACCATTTCTGCCTGGCCTCACAGGGGTCCTTCAGCAGGGTGGCCAGAGGCACTAGTAAAAGGCCACAGGGAGAAGGGAATCTTCAGCTGAACTTTGTAACAGTTTGAACTGATCAAGAAGTGTCCTGGCCAGAACTTGGGGGAGGGTATGAATCCGGTGTGCAGACTCCACAAGCAGGGGAAGAAGCAAAGCCATACTTGCATTCACAGCTGGGAGGTGGGTAGCCTGGGGCAAGTTCTCTGCCCTGCTTGCCCACTGTCTGGAAACCGACTCAGTGCTGTTGGTGAGGGGCACAGTGGGAGTGAGACCAGGCCTTCGGATTCTTTGGGAGCTGGGTGAGGCCTGTGACTGCTGGCTCTCCCTCACTTCCCTGACAACCTGCACGACACAATAAAGGCAGCCATAATCCTCCTAGGAACATAACTCCATTGACCCGGGAATGTCACCCCCATCTCCCACAGCAGCCACAGCAAGACTCACCCAAGGAGAGTCTGAGCTCAGACATGACTAGCCGTGCCCCCACCCAATGGTCCTTCCCTACCCACTCTGGTAACTGAAGACAAGGGCATATACTCTTGGGAGTTCTAGGGCCCTGCCCACCTCCTGTTCCTCCCCATAATACCATAGCTGATGTTCTCTGGAAAGTGCCACCTCCTGGCAGGAGGCCAACCAGCACAAAAATAATGCATTAAACCACCAAAGCTAAGAACCCTCACAGAGTCCATTTCACCTCCATGCCACCTCCACCAGAACAGGTGCTGGTATCCACAGCTGAGAGAACCACAAGATGGTTCACATCACAGGACTCTGTGCAGACAACCCCCAGTACCGGCCCAGAGCCTGGTAGACTTGCTGGGTGACTGGATCCAGAAGAGAGACAACAATCACGACAGCTTGGCTTTCAGGAAGCCATATCCCAAGGAAAATGGGGGGAGTACTACATCAAGGGAATACCCCATGGGACAAAAAATCTGAACAACAGCCTTCAGCCCTAGACCTTCCCTCTGACAGGGCCTACCCAAATAAGAAGAAACCAGAAAGCCAACCGTGGTAATATGACAAAAGGAGGTTCTTTAACAGCCCCAAAAAATCACAGTAACTCACCAGCAATGAATCCAAACCAAGAAATCCCTAATTTACCTGAAAAAGAATTCAGGAGGTTAGTTATTAAGCTGATCAGGGAGGCACCAGAGAAAAGTGAAGCCCAATGTAAGGAAATCCAAAAAATGACACATGAAGTGAAGGGAGAAATATTTAGTGAAATACATACTATAAATATAAAACAATCAAAACTTCAAGAAACAATGGATACCCTTATAGAAATGCAAAATGCTCTGCAGTCTCAGCAATAGAATCAAACAAGTAGAATAAAGAAATTCAGAGCTCAAAGACAAGGTATTTGAATTAACCCAATCCAACAAAGACAAAGAAAAAATAATAGGAAAATATGAACAAAGCCTCCAAGAAGTTTGAGATTACATTAAACAACCAAACCTAAGAATAATTGGTATTCCTGAGGAAGAAGAGAAATCTAAAAGTTTGGAAAACATATTTGAGGCAATAATCGAGGAAAACTTCTCCAGCCTTGCTAAAGACCAAGACATCCAAATACAAGAAGCACAAAAAACACCTGGGAAATTCATCACAAAAAGATCATTGCCTAGGCACATTGTCATAAAGTGATCTAAAGTTAAGACAAAGGGAAGAATCTTAAGAGCTGTGAGACAGAAGCACCAGGTAACCTATAAAGGAAAACCTATCAGAATAACAGCAGACTTCTCAGGAGAAACCCTACAAGCTAGAAAGGATTGGGGTCCTATCTTCAGCCTCCTCAAACAAAACAATTATCAGCCAAAAATTTTTTATCCAGTGAAACTAAGCTTCGTATATGAAGGAAAGATACAGTCTTTTTCAGAAGAACAAATGCTGAGAGAATTTGCCACTACCAAGCAACCACTACAAGAACTGCTAAAAGGAGCTCTAAATCTTGAAACAAATCCTGGAAACACATCAAAACAGAATCTCTTTAAAGCATAAATCTCACAGGATCTATAAAACAAAAATACAGTTTGAAAAACAAAAACAAAAAAATAAGTATACAGGCAACGAAGAGCATGACGAATACAATGGTCCCTCAGATCTCAATACTAACATTGAATGCAAATGGCCTAAATGCTCCACTTAAAAGACACAGAATTGTATAATGGATAAGAACTCACCAACCATCCACTGCCTTCAAGAGACTCACCTAACACATAATAAGGACTCATATAAACTTAAGGTAAAGGGGTGGAAAAAGACATTTCATGCAAATGGACACCAAAAGCGAGCAGAAGTAGATATTCTTGTATCAGACAAAACAAACTTTAAAGCAACAGCAGTTAAAAAAGGCAAAGAGAGACATTATATAATGATAAAAGGGCTTGTCCAACAGGAAAATATCACAATCCTAAACATATATGCACGTAACACCAGAGCTCCCAAATTTATGAAGATATTACTAGTAGACCTAAGAAATGAGATAGACAGCAACACAATAATAGTGGGGAACTTCAGTACTCCACTGACAGCACTAGACAGGTCATCAAGACAGAAAGCCAACAAAGAAATGATGGATTTAAACTATACCCTGGAACAAATGGACTTAACAGATATATACAGAACATTCCATCCAACAACTGCAGAATACATATTCTATTCAATGGCGCAAGGAACTTTCTCCAAGATAGACAATATGATAGGCCACAAAATGAGCTTCAATAAATTTAAGAAAATTGAAATGATATCAAGCACTCTCTGAGACCACAGTGAAATAAAACTGGAAATCAACTCCAAAAGGAAGCTTGAAAATCATCCAAATACATAGAAATCAAATAACCTGCTCCTGAATGATCACTAGGTCAAAAATGAAATCAAGATGGAAATCAAACAGTTCTTCACACTGAATGACAATAGTGACACAACCTATCAAAACCTCTGGGATACAGCAAAGACAGTGCTAAAAGGAGTGTTCATAGCCCTAAACACCTACATCAAAAAGTCTGAAAGAGCACAAACGGACAATCTAAGGTCACATCTCAAGGAATTAGAGAAACAAGAAAAAACAAAACCCAAACCCAGTAGAAGAAAGGAAATAACCAAGATCAGAGCAGAACTAAGTGAAATTGAAACCAAAAAAAAAAATGCAAAGGATAAATGAAACAAAAAGCTGGTTCTTTGAAAAGATAAATAAAATGATAGACCATTGGCAAGATTAGCCAGGATGAGAGAAAATTCAAATAAGTTCAATAAGAAACAAAATGGGAGATACTACAACTGACATCACAGAAATACAAAAGATCATTCAAGGCTACTATGAACACCTTTACAGGCATAAACTAGAAAAGCTAGAAGAGATGGATAAATTCCTGGAAAGGTACAACCTTCCTAGCTTAAATCAGGAAGAATTAGATACCCTGAACAAACCAATAACAAGCAGCAAGATTGAAATGGTAATTTTAAAATTACAAAGAAAAAAAGTCCAGGACCAGACCAATTCACAGCAGAATTCTACCAGACATTCAAAGAAGAATTGGTACCAAACCTATTGACACTGTTCCACAAGACAGAGAAAGACAGAACCCTCCCTAAATCATTCTATAAAGCCAGTATCACCCTAATACCAAAACCAGGAAAGGACATAACCAAAAAAGAAAACTATAGACCAATATCCCTAATAAACTTAGATACTAACATCCTTAACAAAATACCAGCTAACCAAATCCAACAATATATCAAAAATATAATTCACCATGATCAAGTGGGTTTCATATCAGGTATGCAGGGATGGTTTAACATACAGAAGTCAACAAATGTGATACACCACATAAACAGAATTAAAAACAAAAATCACATGATCATCTCAATAGATGCAGAAAAAGCATTTGACAAAATCCAGCATCGCTTTATGATTAAAACTCTCAACAAAATCAGCACACAAAAGACGTACCTTAATGTAATAAAAGCCATCTGTGACAAACCCACAGCCAACATAATACTGAATGGGGAAAAGTTGAAAGCATTCCTTCTAAGAATTGGAACAAGACAAGGACTCCCACTCTCCCCACTCTTCTTCAACATATTTCTGGAAGTCCTAGGCAGAGCAATCAGACAAGAGAAAGAAATAAAGGGCACCCAAATCTTTGTGTGACGACACAAAGAGGAAATCAAACCGTCATTATTTGCTGACGATATGATT